>NC_000011.10:30211515-30363030 GCF_000001405.40 Homo sapiens
TATATATAATATATATATCCCCATAGTAGATGTAGATATGGATATGGATAATAATATGGGCATAAATGTGTGTGTGTATATATATATTATATATATATATGTGTATATATATATATATATCTTCCTGCAATCCTACCTCTAGTAATGTGACCTAAAGAAAAAATCAGAAATGCAGATGAAGAATAAGGTAGTAAGGATGTTTACAATATTCCTTGTAATCATGAAAAACAAATGAAAATAACTTGTTTAATCATAAGAAAGTGGTTAGATCAGCCAAAGTTCATCCAACAATAGAAAATAAGTTTTATAAAAATATTCAATAACATGGATAACAGTTCATGATAAAATGTTAAATTTAAAAAGTGCAGGGGCCTGACACAGTGGCTCACTCCTGTAATCCCAGCACTTTGGGAGGCCGAGGCAGGCAGATCGCTTGAGGTCAGGAGTTCGAGACCAGCCCGGCCAACATGGTGAATCCTCATCTCTACAGAAATACAAAAATTAGCTAGTGTGATGGCGGGTGCCTGTAATCTCAGCTACTTGGGAAGCTGAGGCAGGAGAATTGCTTGAACTGGGGAGGCGGAGGTTCCAGTGAGCCAAGATGATGCCACTGCACTCCAGCCCTGGTGACAGAGTGAAACTCCATCTCAAAAAAATAAAAATAAATAAATAAAATAAAATAAAAGTGCAAGAAAAATTATTTTTCAAAGAGAAGGAAAGTAGTCAATAGTGAAATGATATGTGAAAGTCATGTAAGAGAAAGCCTAAAAAGTGAATAGCATATCAATTTGGCAATTTAGAAGGTTAAACATACTCAAAGTATTTTTTTCTTTGTCTATACCTTTAAAAAGAGCTGGTTGTTTTCTGAGTGTTTAACCTGCTCCTGTGTTCTCTGAAAACCAGATGCAGAGAGAGTGTAAACAATGATGTGAGATAAGGGTTTACGTCTTGATTCTACCACACATTATCTTGAGACCTTGGATACATTACTTCAGCATTGATCCTCACAAAGAATCTAGCATAGTAACTAATAAATATGAGACAATCTTTTTTCTTTTCTTTTCTTGTATATTCAATACATTTATAATTACTAGTCCCATTATCAGCTCCTGCTAACTGGACATTAACCAGGTGAACTTAATCCTTGATCATATTTAATAGGACAAGATTAACTGACCCTAGAGGAGGCACATTCATAAACTTATCTAAACATTTCTTTTCACCTGAAAATCTGTATAAGAGATGGAAATTCCAGCAATTGGAAGAAAGTGGGCTAAAATATCAGCATATAGACTTGGAGCCGATATCACAGAGTCATGTACAGGATAAAACGCAATGAAAGCCCACTAAGAGAGAAGAGTAGGAACAGGTATGAAAAAAAAGGAGTGAGGGGAGTGACTGTATTAGTTTTCCATTGCTGCTGTAACAAATTATCACAACCTTGGTGACTAAAGCATCATACATTTATTATCCTACAGTTCTGGAGCTCAGAAGTTAAAAATAGGTCTCACTGTGCTAAATTCAATGTCTTGGCAGAGCTGCACTCCTTCTGAAGCATTAGGGGAGAATCCATTCCTTGTCTTTTCCAGCTTGTAGAGGCCACTGCCATGCACTGATTTGTGGCCCCCTTCTACACTCCAGTGATGGATGCTGTGGCATCACTCCAGCCTCTGCTTCCAATATCATAGCTTGCCTCCCTCTATTTTTGTTGTCACATGATCTTCTCTATTATGTCCCTATTATAATCTCCACATTGCTCCTTTACATTGAACCCACCCAAATACTCCAGGAAAATCTCCTAGTGATTACATTGGACCTACCCAGATAATCCAGGATAATATCCCCATCTCAAGATTTTTAATCACATCTTAAAAGTCTTTTTTGTCCTCTGTAAGGTAATAAGGCAAGTTCTGGGAGTTAGGACACAGGTGGCTATTGTAGTCTCGTGTGGCAGAAACAATGCCTCTTACTGATCACATATGAAGACTATGTTTCTTGACCCCTTTGCAGTTAGGCTGAGACCAATAGAAGGCTTTGGCCTAATGAGATATGTGCAGAAGAGAGATAAGCCCTTGCTTCTAAGGGACAGTGGCATCATCATCTCCTTGACAATTGTTAGACATGCAGAATCCCGGGTTCCACCTGAGACCTCCTGAGTCAGAATCCTCATTTTAACAAGGTCTCAGGTGATTCTAATTCACAGTAAAGTCTGAGAAGCACTGATACAGGCCACTTCCAGACCTGGCACTTTATTTTGTTGTTGCTATTTTCCTATGATAATAATACATTTAGAGAACTCTTGCTAACTGGTCTAGCAGAAAATAAATTGCAACAGTTTTGCAGAATTATAGCCTCATTCCACATAGAAATAAAGGGCTATGCATAATAGAATGGGGAGCCTCTGGAGGGGCCGGATCAATTGGGAGGGAGGTGAGGGCCCTTGGCTGTTACCCATGTGCCAGCCCAGGTGACCACAGACTCTACTGGCAGCAAAACAATAATTTTGTTTATGTATTTTTTTCTTCCAACTTTTATTTTAGGTTCAGCGGGGTACATGTGCAGGTTTGTTACATGAGTAAGTTGCGTGTCACTGGGGTTTGGTGAACAAATGATTTCATCACCCAGGTAGTGAGCATACTACCTGATAGGTAGTTTTTCAATCCTCACCCCCCTCCCACCCTCCACCCTCAAGTAAGCCCCAGTGTCTATTGTTCCCGTCTTTGTGCCCATGTGTACTCAATGTTTATCTCCCAGTTATACATGAGAACCTGTGGTATTTGGTTATTTGTTCCTGTGTTAATTCACCTAGGATAATGGCCTCCAGCTGTATCCATGTTGCTGCAAAGGACATAATTTCATTCTTTTATATGGCTGCATAGTATTCCATACACACACACACACACACACACACACACACACACACATAACATTTATATATATTTATATATGTATATAACATATATACACATAACATTTTCTTTATCCAGTCTACTGTTGATGGGCATCTAGGTTGATTCCATGTCTTTGCTATTGTGAATAGTGCTGTGATGCACCTAAGTGTGCTGGTGTCTTTATGGTAGAATGACTTATATTCCTTTGGGTATATACCCAGTAATGGGATTATTGGGTCAAATAGTAGTTCTGTTTGATTTGAGAAATCACCAAACTGCTTTCCCGAATGGCTGAACTAATTTACATTCCCACTAGCAATGTATAAGTGTTCCCTTTTCTCTGCAACCTCGCCAGCATCTGTTAGTTTTTTACTTTTTAGTAATAGCCATTCTGACCGATGTGAGATGGTATCCCATTGTGGTTTTGATTTGCATTTCTCTAATGATTAGTGATATTAAACATTTTTTCATGTGCCAGACCTGGCAGTTTAAAACACTGTGGAAAATCTAACCCTACAGCTATCTTTTCCTCTTGTGCAGTAACCTTAGAGTCCAAGAGTTCCAGACATCAAATCTACAACATGGAGGTCTTCCAACCAACAAGGGACCACAGCATAAGCAAAAAATAAACTTCTAAGTAAAGGCACCAATATTTCAGAGACTGCCTGTTTTAGCTACTCATAATTATTCTGGTTTTCAGTAAGATATATTTGTTTGAACTAGATTAAGTAGATTCCTATTTTTTAAAACCAAGAGAGCTTTGCCCACAACACTGGTTCTCAATTGAGTATGTATCAGTATCACCTGAAGGACTTCTAAAACCAGATTGCTGGGCTCCACCCCAGAGTTTCTGATTTAGTAGATCCAGGGTGAGGCACAGCAATTTGCATTTTTATCAAGTTCCCAGGTGATGCTGATCCTGCTGGCCCAGGGACTACGTTTTGAGAAACACTGGTTTACAACGTTGCTGTTAAATGCTTTCCACCTAGAGAGAGAGAAATATTATGCAGCATTAAAAAAGAAGGAAGGAAATCCTGCCATTTGTGACAACATGGATGAACCTGGAGGACATAATGCTAAATATATATATATATATATATACACACACACATATATATATACACACACATATATATATACATACACACACACACACACACACATATATACAGATACATATATATGTATATGGCCAGGGAGAGAGAGTGAGAGGGAGGGAGAGAAATATTATGTTAATATAATGAAGTGGCATCATTGTCTGGGGTAAATACCTAAGGTTTGTCGTCTCATGCCAAGGCAATCAAGTATGCAGACACACAAGAAGTGAGTTGAGGAGTGGAGGTTTAATAGGCAAAAGAAAGAGAAAGGAGAACAGCTCTCTCTCCTGGAGAGAGAAGGGCGCCTGAATGGGATTTCTGGCCCACAGCAGAGTGCACAGGGTTTTATAGACACGAGTGAGGTGGTGATGTCTGATTTACATAGGGCCCAAAGATTGGTTGGACTAAGTGTGATGGTTACATAGTGCAAGAGGAAGCTGGCCACCACACTCTAATCTTTTATTATGCAAATGGAGTCTCCACTTGGCCAGCGCCATGTTGTCTGCTCCTTACTGTGCACGTGGTTGACAAGGAAAAGGGAAGATGGAGCCTCCATGTTGGACATGCCTAGCCCCCAGGTAGCCTTTTCCTATAGGCACAGCTGCTGGCATTCACCACTGCAAGCTTCCAGCTTCCTTATCTATGTCTATGGCTTGATTTTACAGGTTGCTTTTTGTTAGAAAGAAATTATTTTGGGGATGCTTTTCATTAAAAGGAAAACCTTACTGAGGACTTTCTTACTCTCACTATCTGCCTAAATAAGTTCTTTTTAACTCCTGCATCAATAATATTATATTTTGAAAATGTGGTCTGTGTATATATGTGTGTACATATATACATATATATAAGGATATACACAAACACGTATACACAGACCACACTTTTTTTTACCCATTTATCCTATCTATGATAGACACTTAGGTGGTTTTTGTATCTTGACTATTACGCACGATGCTGCTATGAACGTAAGGGTACAGATATCTATCTCTTTGATACAATGATTACTATTACTATTATGTTTCTAGAAAGAGCCATTTGTTATCAAGGGTAAGTCTCTCCATATATAGAACTGAAAAGATTCTCAGTAATCAGTAAGAATTTTCAGAGATCTACTTGTGCAAAAGTTGGTGTTGTTTTGTACATCTGAGGCAGGAGCAGGGGTGGCAAGAATGAAAACCAGGCAGTTGCTGCTGCGGCAAACACTCTTAATTACCTCACAACCTATCTGCTCAAGTTACAAATCACAATGGCCTTTTTATGTCTCTTATCATTCTAGGGTCAACTTAGTTTACTAAAATTAAGCTGCTTGTCATCTTCCAGAATAGTACACGAGACTATAATATATGCTCTTTCCACCTACTTCAAAAGCCCTATGACCTATATTTTTTTAATCCTTAAATGTACCAACTCACACAAAAGCACTCTTTAAAAAAAAAAATTATTCTTTCAGGATTGTCCCTTTAAAAATAGTAGTGTCTGTAGAAATGTCATATCAAAAGAAATTGCTCAGAGATAGAAGTACTTAGCTTTTTTGTTATTATATTAGAGATTTGCTGATCTGAGAATGGAAAAATGACTGATACTGAATAAAAATACCATGGTGCCAAAAGGGAGATGTATTTACTTTATTTATTTATTTGTTTATGTTATAAAAATTTCATTTCATTTTTTCTGTTTGTTTGAAAACACCTTTATTTTGCCTTCTTTTCTTTTTTCTTTTTCTTTTTTTTTTTTTGAGACAGAGTCTCACTCTGTTGCCAGGCTGGAGTGCAGTGGCACCATCCCGGCTCACTGCAACCTCTGCCTCCCAGGTTCAAGTGATTCTGCTGCCTCAGCCTCCCGAGTAACTGGGACTAGAGGCATGAGCCACCACGCCCAGCTAATTTTTGTATTTTTAGTAGTGATGGAGTTTCACTATCTTGGCCAGGATGGTCTCGATCTCCTGACCTCCTGATCTGCCCGCCTCAGCCTCCCAAAGTGCTGGGATTACAGGCGTGAGCCACTGCGCCCATCCTTGCCTTCATTTTTTAAGAAACTTCAACTTTTAAGTTCAGGGGTACATGTGTAGGTTCGTTACATGGGCACATTGTGTGATGCTGCGGTTTGGGATACGATTGATCCCATCACCCAGGTAGTAAGCATAGGACCCAACAGGAAGTCGTTCAGCCTTTGGCCCTCATCCCATTCTCCTTTCTCTAGTAATCCTCAGGGTCTTTATGTTCATGTATACTCAATGCTTAGCTCCCACTTATAAGTGAGAACAGGAGGAATTAGGTTTTCTGTTCCTGTGTTAATTTGCTTACGATAATGGTCTCCAGCTGCATCCATGTTGCTGCAAAGGACATAATTTTGTTCTTTTATATGACTTTGTAGTATTTCATTCATCTCATATTTTAAAATCTGAATAAGATTCTGTATTGACTGGAGCCTGGTTCTTTTTGCTTTTAAAAATGAAAACCCTCTTTGAATCTCCCCAGAATTGATCCCTAAAAGGAGCTAGAGCTAAGACATTAAGCTGGTTAGCTGGCATTCTTACTAGTTGCTACGTAAAGTTATGGTCTCTGCTGCACAATTGTCAACCACATGCCCTTTTAGAATTTCTTGCACTCTGAGCTCTGAGAAGGTGCTGTGTTCTCACTTTTCTCTAGGCCTTTGTACAGCCTCCTTTTGTCTAAAAAACCTTAAGTCTGCTATTTTGATGAGTCCTCTATTACCCTATGACACACCCTATGCCCAGATTTTGATGGCCCTTAGCCCCTCCTTTTCCCACCATCGCGGTGAGAATCCTAATGTTCCCTTCCCCAAAGTGTCCTCAACTCTTTAGGAGGTCTACAAAAGGGTGACTCATATGCCCATCAATCAGTTGTCAGTTTCATTCTCCCCCGAATGTCTGCCATGTTTCCTACCCTTGCTCTAGCTCTCATTCCCTAGGACCCGGGAACTACTTGAGAGCAGTCCTCACTGCACATGATGCCAGCTGCATGAATGCCAAAGTTCTTGCCAACAATGCTGGTGTTGAACTACATGAATGGGAGAGGGATGCTGGCTTCCCTGATGAAATAGAAGAATGCTCCTCTCCCTCTAACGCTGTGCCCTACTTTGTCACTGAGCCCCAAAGAAAACAGTTCTTTCATCTGCCTTGAGCAAGACCCCAAGCAAGAGCACACACATCTTTCTCCAACTATAAGGAACAGTTCTTCCTCATCAGGACAGTCTAAGTCTAGTCATTAAAAAATATATTGCTTTAAGTTCTCATTTTACCAACAGGCTATTTTCCTTCTAAGTGGTCCCCCCAGTCACACTGCCACAAAAATGTCCATTTTATAAGAAAGGCTCTACTCTATGTAACCCCTTTCCTAGACCCACAGCACTGAGCAGACATAAGGGCAGATGAATACAATACAGTAATGGAAGCAAGCTTCTTGTTAATCTCTCAACAACACACATAAAAAGTCATTTAAATTCTTCATTTTTCCTGATCACTTTAGACCTATACTGAGTCAGCACTTGGGAATCCTCTCATCTCCCCCAGCTTCCCTTTTCTACCCTTCTGCTCCTGGCTTGCTGTTTCCCTTCTCTCAGATCAAAGTCATAGATACATTTCTTCCTAGTTCCTCCATAGCTGCAGGCATTCTTCATAGCTGGGCATCTACAATCCAAATATTCCCTTCTTACCTCCAGCAGCACACATCAACATACTATGCTAGAAGACTGTTTTTCTACCAACACTGGAAGGAAGAAGAAGGAAGGAAATGGAGACAGAACATCCCTCATGTCACATGTATGTTCATCTAGAAAATTCTGCACCAAAGATGCATGAAAATATCCAGGTTTTAGAAGACAAAAAGCTGCAGTCTAGAAATGGCAATTTCATCAGTTTTGATATTTCTAAGATCACAGGGCCAGGATTCACTCTCAGGCTAATCTCAAGGGACCATAGGCATTCTCTGCCCTCCACAGACTCTATCAAGGATAATTATCGTACATATTTGACCTAAGAATCGGATCTCTGCCCTGAGATGATGACTTTGACTACATTATTTTGTTTGATTATTTTTATTTTTATAGAGACAGGGTTTTGCTATGTTGCCCAAGCTAATCTTGAACTCCTGTTCTCAAGCGATCTTCCAGCCTCAGCCTCCTAAAGTGCTCGGATCACAAGTATAAGCTGCCATGCCCAGCCAAAATACCCATTTTAAAATTATTATTATAGTTTAAGTTCTGGGATACATGTGCAGAACCTCAAGGTTTGTTATACAGGTATACACGTGCCATGGTGGTTTGCTGCACCCATCAACCCATCATCTGCATTAGGTATTTCTTCTAGTGCTATCCCTCCTCTAGCCCCCAACCCCCCAACAGGCCCCAGTGTGTGTTGTTCCCCTCCCTATGTCCATTGTTCGACTCCCACTAATGAGTGAGAACATGGGGTATTTGGCTTTCTGTTCCTGTGTTAGGTTGCTGAGAATGATGGTTTCCAGCTTCATTTTTGAGTTAGATTCATTCAACTAAAAGTAACGGAGACCCAAAATATTGTGACCTAAATAGAATACAGATTGTTTCCTGTCTTATGTGAAATTCTAAAGTTACGCAGTTTAAGGCTGGACTGGTAGTTTTGAAAAGTCCTTGGCAACTCAGGTGCCTTTTAGGTCACTACCCCACCCACTCAGTATCTTAGCTCAAGACGACATATCCACATTACGAGGAGCAGTATGGAGAAAGTATGAAAAAGAAGGAACAAAAGTTGCTTGCCACCTATCTCCTACAGTTCCTGAAAGCTGCCACACAGCATTCTACTTACATCTTGTTCCTCAACGCAAGGCCATTCCTGGCTGCAAGGAAAGTGGAAGGTGGAACATTGACTCTTTTTCTGGGCAGCCATATGCCTGCCTAAAAATTCTATTCCTATGGCAGAATAGAGGGAGATTGACTATCAAGGGACAATTGGCAGTCTCTGCCACATTGTGCTCCTAACGTTGCTACCTTTTTCTGTGCCAAAAATAGACTCCAGAGCCACCCAAAATAGAATGCTTTAAATTACATGTTTTTATAAAAAGTCTGCCATTCAATATAACCATAGGCAAGTCACTCAGGGTTTTAACTCTCTGCTCTGAGATGATGACTTTGACTACATTATTTTGTTTGTTTGATTATTTTTATATTTATAGAGACAGGGTTTTGCTATGTTGCCCAAGCTAATCTTGAACGCCTGTTCTCAAGCAATCTTCAGGTAATGTTTACCCTCCCACCTTAAAAGATTGCTCTGAGGAAATTCTGGGAGTAAACTGAGATTAAAATGTGAAAGCAATTTTTGAAATGTGATATAAATAATTCTAGAAACAAAGTAGAATTAAAGGAGTAAATTATTTCTCTCTCCTTTAAAATCCATTCTTTCATTCAAAATTATCTCCATTCTCTTTTGGGGTTCCTTAATGAATGTGGCAGATAAATGTCAAGAGAGCAAGGGACCAGAAACAAAGGAATTGGTCTAATATTAGATGATTCGGTGAGGGGCATTGGTCTATCAAAGAGAGAAAATAATTTCATAGAAATCACCAATATTTATGAAGACTCGTAGCATCAACCTGTTGTCTCAACCTGCTTCCTATATTTGATTGTTATTATTGTATACAGGATTAGATTTTTATAACATAAATTATTTTCCTTGGGCAAAATTTCAGATTCTAGCAATCTTGTTTGCAAAGGAGGCTACCGTTGGCCATTTAGGACAAGCAGAGTAGCTATAAAATCAGCTGGTAGTTGTTTTTCTTTTTATAATTTTCTGGAGTATTAAATTTTGCTGTCATTGTTGCTTCTGTTACTGTTTGTTTAAAAGCAATGGAAAGATAGAAAGCACCTAGTAATTCTAAACTGCTTTAAGGGAGGGAACAAATCCAGGCAATAGAGTTATGTAGATGCTATAGTTTTATTCCTGCTCTGCTGGAGGATCAGAAGAGGCACAGAGTGGACAGAGTCATGATATGGATTGAGACTTGGAAAAGCAAAGAGGACAATTCTGAAAATTATGTTACAGAAGATCCTGGCTATACATATATACACTGTATATACCTTCCGTCCCTGTGGTCTGGCATCATACAAAGTCAAGCACACTGCTGAGATGCCCTCCAGGTAAGATATCTATTAGTCGGAATATACTGGATTATAGTGCACTAACAAAAGAACCTGAAATTCTCAATGACTTAACACAATAAAGGTTAATTTCTTTTCCATACTAAATATCTAACATGAGTCAGAGGAGATTATGCTTCACACAGTCACTCAAGGATACATGCTGCCAGAATCTCTGCCAACTTTTAGCTGTAGCACCTGGAAAATAAAGTCCCTACAGTACTCACAGAAGAGACTTTTCCACCTCAGTCTATGTATAATACAATTCACTTCTGTGCATAGTACATTGGCTGGAACTAGTCACATGACCCCAATCTAAATACAAGGAAGCTAGATAACGCAGGCTAGTATATGGAATATTTAGGGTGACTTGTCTATGCTCTAGTGATAGTTAAATTATCTAAGAAATACTTCCCGCTCCATTTTTTTCCTCATGCATTCTGACAATGACAGGTTTTATTATGAGGAACTTTCTTTGGTAGGTGGAAAAACAGATCTTGGTCTTTTAGCACAATTTCCTCTACACACAGATGTGTGTGCACATATGCACACAGAGGAGTAAAAATTCACTGTCGAGGGCATGGAGAGGCACATATATTTATTCTAAAATGGGCTCGATTTTATTCTGAAAAGAGTGGGTGGTAGAATGGCATAGTGGTAAAAGTGCAAGCACTAGAACTAGACACCTGGAGTTTGAATTTCAGCTATCCTGTTTACCAGCCATGTGGCCTTGGTAAAGATATTTGAACTGTCTGTGTCACAGTTTCCTTATCTCTAAAATAGAGATGATTATAGAACTTTTTTAGGGTTGTGAGGATTAAATACATTTAAATGACACATATAAAGTGCTTAGCATTAAGCCTGGCACTTATATCTTAAAAGATAACTCATTCTTTAGTATCTAACTTTCTAATGCACCTACTTGGATTAATGATTCACTGTACAGTTTGCTTATCTTTTTCTTCCATTTTCTTCCTAACGTTCTGTTTCTCCAGTCTCCCCAGTTGGTCCTGCTTTTCCTGGTGAAGGAATCAAATAGAATTTATCCAAAAATTCAAAAAACACACCATGTTGATGTTGAATAGTAATGATGCCCTTCAGTCCTTGGATGCTTCTCATCCACTAAGTCAGTCTGTCTAGCAAAGTTTATGAGACTGAAGTAATATGAGGGATGCTGGAGTCTCCTTGCATAGTCTGGAATTAATGCTTTTCTACTTACTATTACATTGGCCACCTTAATGCACTTCCCTGACCCTCATTTCTTTATTTGTAATGTACAAATAATTATAATATGTACATCATACGGCTGGTGACAGCATTCAGTGGTACAATGCATATAAACATTTAGCACAGTGATTGCTACAGAGTAAGTGCTCAATCAATGTTTATACTGTGTAGCATGAGGACAACACTTTCCTCAAAGGATATGCACAAACTTAAGATGTGAACACACCATAAACTGTCACTTCAGTACTTTATATGTGTGTGTGTCTGTATGTGTGTGCATTATATATTCTGCTCTTTCCTAAAACACAAATATATGAAATCAACTGGCATTTGCATTTTGTACTGGGGGTAACTGCTGGCCCATCGGTGGATTACTGTCCTTTCAGCATAGCCCACATGAAGCATCAATATATTGTTAATCACTTGGATATACACATCATTCTCAGTGCTTTATGCTAGAAACTTGCCAACCAGCATCAAAACAAAATCAAATTCGTAAGTATTTATTGAATGCTTACTTTATGCAGGTTCCAAATGCTATCAAGCCTAGGAAATATTTTTAGCTTCATGCATTATCAGTTGACTGATACCAAATGTACTGACTTCTTACTGGAACATCATCATGGAATATTCTGAGTGCCATTACCTGCATTTAAAAGAGCTCCTATCAGGAGCACTCTATGCCATTTGCTCCATATTGCTCTAAGGAAAGAAAATACAGTAGAAATGGACAGCTGATTTTGTATTGTTTTTCTAGCGTCTCATCTGATGAAATAGTTCCATCTGACTGCCTCGATGGATGAGAATAAGAAGTTTTCCTGCTAATACGAAGATTGAATCTCACTGAAAAATATACAGTACATTATTGTGTCTTCATATTAATAAACATTGGCAACCAGTGGGCTTCTTATTTTATTATTTTTTATGGTTATATTAGTCCACCTAATCTGGCAATGTGTAATGCACATGTGCCAGACATTAGACCAGTAAGCACATCTTGTGACCACTGCAAATTTACTTATTAGCTGGCAAGTTCTACATCAGTGCTGTCCAATAGAAACATAATGTGAAAGACTTACGTGATTTAAAATCTTCTGGTAGCCACATTTTAAAGGCCAAAATAAAAAGGAATAGGTGAGATCTTAATAACAATTTTTTAGCCTAATATATCCAAAATATTTTCATTTCAAATATAATCAAGATAAAAAGTATTAATGGGATATATTATATGCTTTATTTTGTCTTTGAAACCCAGTGTGTATTTTACACTTATAGTGTATATCTTAATTTGGACTAACTGAATTTCAAGTGCTAATGAGCCACCTGTGGTTGGTGGCTACTACACTGGACAGTGAAATGTTATATTACCATTGTTGTGTTATTAGATAGGGTAAAAACTTAATAAAATGTTGGCACTTTCTATGGAAATGTATATCATATATGTTATTTATTACTTTATAATTTAAATAAAGTAGATATTTCTAAATAATATTTTAAATGACAAAAAAGAATAAAATAATTAGAAAATAAAATATATTAAACATTTAAAACCTTACATTGTAAAACATATATCACATGGGCAAAGGAAAGGAGGAAAGGATCCGAGAACATAGAAGGAGCAGGTAATTTATCAAGGCATGAACACGGGTGCTTAATTTCCTATTTTGAGGCCAGGCATGGTGGCTCACACCTGTAATCCCAACACTTTAGGAAGCCAAGGTGGGTGGATTGCTTGAGTCTAGGATTTTGAGACCAGCCTGGCCAACATGGCGAAATCCTGTCTCTACTAAAAATACTAAAATTAACCAGTCATGGTGGTGGTGTGCCTTTAGTCCCAGCTACTCTGGTGGCTGAGGCACAAGAATCACTTGAACCTGGGAGGCAGAGGTTGCAGTGAGCTGAGACTGTGCCACTTCACTCCAGCCTGGGTGACAGAGTAAGATTCTGTCTCAAAAAATATGTATATATACACACATATAATAGATACATAAACATATATAAATATATAATATATAAATATATATATTATATATAATATATAAACATATATAAAATATATATATATATATATATATAAACCAAACATAAAGGAATAATTTTGGGGGAAAATCTTCATAAATGAAAGAACAACATAGGCTGTTGAGTATATGCACAGAAATTCAAGAGATCTTCCAGCAATTGAAGACATTGGTTTACCAGAATTCACAAAAGAAGTCAGCTGTGCATTTAAAGTAGAATGTGATGAGTGTTACCACTGAGGTAGGAACTGGGAACTAAGGAAGCGTAAGACAGAAAGTGCTGAACTGAGAGTTGGGCATTGGAGGCTGTGTAAGGCAGGGTAAGTGAATGTCTCCTAGAAGCTACCTTTAAATGGAGTTTTGAAGTACTTGTAGGAGTAGCTTAGGTGAAAAGAAGAGGAGAAACATGTATCAGGCAGAGGGACTAGAACCTTATTACCTTCAAAGAAGAAGCAAAAAGAATACATGTGACTTTGAGGTGGTGGGAGGTGCTTTAAGCCAATATAGGTGAATTTGACATAGGACTTCCCTAAATAATGTTCGGTCATTTGTTAAATATTGAGTGATATATCACTGTATTAAAGCCCAAGAGTTGCTTTTATATAGAAAGAAGAAAAAAGCCCAAGAGAGTTTTATTTCTAGAGGGAATATTTTCTAGAAATAAAGGAAGGTGTATCAGCCAGTTTCTAGTCAGGAAAACAGAAATCACACCTGATATGCAAAATAGAGGAAAATCAGGGAATTCATTAATCCAGAGATTTGGTTGCTCAAGTATTAGATTGCTGAAAAGCCAGACAGGGAATATGAGGCAATCAGAGATAAGTATTAGTGACAAGCTCCATTTATGTGCAGGATTGGAGGGACATAGGTGGGGTTCCCAGAAGCCAGAAGGTGAGACCACCTAGCAGAAGCTCAAACCACAGCTGGGGTTTCCTCACAAAAGCTGGGACCACCAGGAGGAGCTGTCCAATGGGATCTGGAGCCAGGGAGATCATGCAGTCACTACCAGGAAGGGAAGCAGAATGTAAAAGGTAGAGAGAAATACTCCAACTGCTTCCTTGCATTCACTTTCCAATCTCCATTCACAAAGGCAAAAACCTGCTAATACAGCAGAGTGGGAAAAGCAGCCTGCCAAGGTCCTTTCTCCCACAAAACAGAGCACAAAACCAAGCAAAAACAAGGAATGCATTTGATAGCAAACAGGCTATGGACCAACCCAACATAAAAGAAATGATGAGTGATTTCTTTTTTCATTTGGTTCAAGAAAAGTATTTCAGTAACTATTATGTAACAGAAATTCTATTTATTTTGGGGAATTCAAAGGTGAATAAAAAAGAACTCTAAATTTTTATCAATAAAATATTTCAAAAACCTCAATGAGAGTAATGGCATTAACTAGCAAATATGCTAATGAGATGAGCTAGCCATAAGAGGCTTAGAATTGAGAGAAAGGTCTGGGGGCCTCTTGACAGGCCAAATTCAGAGCTGTTTGTGGGAATCTCTGACCTAACTGCAGGTGGAAATATAAATATGGGCATTTAGAATAGTGGCCCAAACTTTGGATGATTTCTGTCTTGGGGTCTCTCCAATTAATGGGATTGATGAGAACTGTAGACCACTGAGGTCACCATGGCTCAATGAATAGTCCCCTGGCTTTGGAGTCAAACTGACCTGAATATGAACCCCAGCTTTGCTACTTACAGGTTGCATTTATCCTCAGTTTTCTCATCTTTCAAAGAAGAACAGTAACTTCTTTAAAAGGTTATTGTAGGCTGGGTGCAGTGGCTCACGCCTGTAATCGCAGCACTTTGGGAGGCGGAGGCTAGTGGATCACTTGAGGCCAGGAGTTGGAAACTAGCCTGGCCAACATGGTGAAACTCTGTCTCTACAAAAAGAAATTTAAAAAATTTTGCTGGGTGTGGTGGCACACACCTGGAATTCCAGCTACCTGGGAGGCCGAGGCATGAGCATCACTTGAGTCTGGAAAGCAGAGGGTTGCAGTGAGCCAAGATTGTACCACTGTACTCAAGCCTGGGTGACACAGTGAGACCTTGTCTAAAAAAAAAAAGGTTATTGTGTTATTGTAAATATTGTATATGAACTTCTATTTAACATGTTTAGTTAAATGCCTGTGTAATTGTCCAATGTGCTCTTCTAGCTCACTGCACAGACAAAACTGATTCACTGAAATCATGGAATTGCAGCAAAGAACAAATCTAATTAATGTAGGTCAAACGGGAGGACTGGAGTTATTATTCAAATCAGTCTCCCTGAAAACTCAGAGGCTAGGGTTTTATGGATAATTTGGTGGGCAGGGGACTAGGGAATGGGTGCTGCTGATTGGTTGGGGAATGAAATAGTAAGATTGTGGAAAACTGTCCTCCTTCATTGAGTCTGCTTCCGGGTGTAGGCCACACGACCAGTTGAGTCATGAAGCATGCGTCCAAGTGGAGTCAGTTTGTTGCCAGAATGCAAAAGCCTGAAAAATGTCTCAAATGATCAACTGTAGGCTCCACAATAATGATATTATCTATAGGAGCAATTGGGGAAGTAACAAATCTTGTGACCTCTGGACACATAACTCCTGAACTAGTAAGGGATTATAAAAACCATGCCTATATCTTATCAGAATTCAGGTCCCCCCATAATCCTAATCTCACAGCATTTCATTTGTTTAGAAAGGCCATTTTCAGTCCCTGAGCAAGGAGGGGGTTAGTTTTAGGATAGGACTATTATCCTTGCTTCGTTAAACTATAAACTAAATTCCTCCCATGGTTAGCTTGGCCTACACCTAAGAATGAGTGAGAACAGCCAGCCTGTGAGGCTAGAGGCAAGATGGAGTCAGCCATGCTAGATTTATCTCACTGTCATAACCTTTGCAAAGGCAGTTTCACCTGGGACATAGGAGGTACTCAATGAAAAAGAAGCTATTAATATTAATATTTTAAAAATGAATTTAAGGAACTAATACTATGTACATATTAGTCATTAAAACAAAGTGGTTCATTTACATTCACACAAATAAATCTTGTGATTATACATAGGTAATATGAAAAACTTTGTTTTCTTTCATAATACAAGGTATTAGCAATAGATATAGTAATGTTAGCATTCCTTTGGAAAAAATGAAAAGATTTATAATTTTCCAAGAATCATTAGTATTTTTATTTAATATACATAATATAAAATTTATTCATTCTATAACTTGGAAATATGCTTGCTTACCAATTACTGACAGATTTCAAAATATTTCTATACTCACAATATTCATTTACATAAATATTGATTTGGTACTTACAATGTGTACTGCTATGCTAAGTTTTGTCTTTGTCAAACATATTTTATAAAATCATAATCCTAGATGAATCCAACTTTTGGTAACCCACGTGCCTGAACCCCTGCTGTTAACAGGCAAAGTGTGGTAGGTACAGATCTATACCTACCACCTTCCTCTACCCACCAGCATCTGCACCCACCACCCCTCCCCACCCACCATTATCTATACCAACCACCCCTCCCAACCTACCAGCATCTGCACCCACCACACCGCCCACCCACCACCATGTACACTCACCACACCTTCCAGCCATCACCATCTGCACCCATCACTCCTCCCCATCCACAAGCATCTGCACCCACCACATTTCCCTACCTACCAGCATCTTCACTCACCACCTCTCCACCCACCAGCATCTGCACCCACAACCCCTCCTCACCCACCAGAGTCTGCATCCATCACACTTGCCCACTCGCTAGCATCTGCACCATCAAGCTCTGCCTTCTTGCCTAATACGGGATGAGCTCTCCATGGTTCTGCCTAAAGACAATGCTTCCACTCCTCTTCTATAACCCATTTCCTTTTACCTCTTCAAGTACACTTCAGAACTTCTCTCTCCTTCTGATACCAACTTTTTCCACTTTACTCAATCATTCCTATCACCATACAAACGTGTTTATTTCTCCCATCTTAAAGTTAAAAATCAAAAGAAAATTGTCTGCGGCCAGGCACGGTGGCTCACGCCTGTAATCCCAACACTTTGGGAGGCCAAGGAGGGTTGGATGACTTAAGGTTAGGAGTTCAAGACCAGCCTGGCCAACATGGTGAAACCCATCTCTACTAAAAATACAAAAATTAGCCAGGCATGGTGGCACATGCCTGTAGTCTCAGGTACTTGGGAGGCTGAGGCCAGAGAATGGCTTGAACCCGGGAGGCAGAGGTTGCAGTGAGCCGAGATTGTGCCCTTGCACTCCAGCCTGGGTGACAGAGTGAGACTCCATCTCAAAAATAAAAAATAAAAATAAAACAAAAGAAAGTTATTTTTACCCAACATCCACATTAACCAAATACCCATTTCTTTATTGATCTTTGTAAAAAAAAGCTCTTGGAAAAATTGTCTATATTCACTATGACTTATCTCCTCCAAATCACTTAAACACATACCAATCAGGTTTTTGTTTTCATCATTCCAAAGTAACTTTTACAGCCAAGGACAGTAGCGAACTTTACATCGCATATGCATTGTGAAGTTCTTGATCCTCATCTTACTTAACCTGTCAGCAGTATCTGACACAGGTGTCACTGGCTCCTCCCTGAGATGCTCTCTTTATTTGGCTTTTGGGACACCATATTCTCCCCATTCCTACTTTCCTCAATGGCCCTCCTCAGTCTCCTTTGGAAAGAGGAAAAAGAAACTTCATTATCTCCTGGATGTAGTACAAACAACTCAAGCTCAACATGTGCATACTGAACTCCATTTCCTTTTCCCAAACTTCGACATTTACAGCCATCCCCTTTCAGCTGATAGCAAGTTTATCCTTCCAGCTACTCAAACCAGAATCTTTAGAGCCATCCTTGACCCTTTTCCTCCTCTCACACTCAACATCTATCCATCAGAAAATTTTGTTGGTTCTACTTTCAAAATGCATACAGAGTCAGAGCATGTCTCATTACCTCCAATAGCTACCATACTAGTCTGAACAAACATCATTTCTCACCTGGGTTATTGAACAAACATCATTTCTCACCTGGGTTATTGATAGCATCCTAACGGGTCTTCCTGTTTCTTGGTTCCCCTATATTAGCAACACAGCAGTCAGAGGAGTCCTTTTAGAACTCAATCAGATCATGTCACGTCACTCCTCTACTTAAAATCCTTCAATGGGTCCCATTACACAAAGAGTACAAACCAGAGCCCTTACACTGGTCTACAAGTTCCAACATTTGACTCCTGTTATCTCTCTGACATCATATTCTAATATTACTGCTGTTGTCCTTTTGCTCCAGTCACACTGTTTGATTAGTAAATATTTATTAAACAAAGCAATCCTAGTCTCCAAAGAGATCATAGTTTATTGGAGGAAACAAGAGCCTATAAATGGTTACACACAGAAGGTAGTGATTATGGTTCTCCCTCACCTCCCATCCTAAACTTTGACAGGTGAAACTCCCCTGGATGTTGAAGGTTGAGGAATTTGCCAGGGTTCAGGGTGGTGTTGGAGGAGGCAGGGAGGAAGCAAGGACATTTCAGGCAGGAAGAACATTACATGCAAAGATCTAAAGATATGAATCAGCAACATATTTATGGAATTACAAGTAAAGTAGAAAGTTCTTGCTAAAACATCAAAAAATAAAGATTTGTGATTAGGGGGCCAGAATGTGGGAGGGAAAGAGAGATACAGTTCACACTTTAGACAGGAGCCAGATCATGAAATGTTTTCTCTTTGTTTGTTTCTTCCTTCACAGCTTTTGATATGCTCTTGGAGCAATTTATTAACCATATTTTTTAATGCATCTCCTGAACAGAGTCAAAGCAATACTTGGAAAGGACTCTGAATTTCCTGATTTAAAGATACAAAAGAAAAATCTGGAGTCACAATTAATTTGAGAAGGTAAAGGAGTGGGTGTGCTACTGTATCAAATTTAATTTGTACAAAATCATCATCTCTAGTAACATTATTTTTTCTAATCTACTGCGTTTAGACTACTTTAGTAAAGCTTGATCTCCCTGTCTATCTAAACACTGATTCACTTACAGCAAGCTTCAGGCTAGCATTGGTCATATTAATACCCAACAAATCCACAAGGTGTTAGTTGCACATGATTTTGTATAAAAGGTGAACTGAGATTTCATTCAGTCTACAGCTCTTGCCAGGCAAGGCAGCCGACCACAGGTGAGTCTTGGCATCTACCGTTTTCAAGTGGTGACAGCTACTTTTGAAATTACAGATTTGTCAGGACATGGAGGACAAAACTAGAGCTTCTCACTACTGTTGTGTAGGAAATTTATGCTTGTCAACCTGGCTTGTAAAATATGGTTAATATAACGTAATCACTGTTAGCAAGTAACTGACTTTATAGACCAATATGCCTCTCTTCTGAAATGGTCTTATTTTAAACAAATGTGAGCAAAAGAAAATATTTATGAGATTCTAAAAATGAAGACATAATTTTGTAGTATAGAATTTTCTTGGCCAGGAATGGTGGCTCATGCTTGTAATCCCAGCACTTTGGGAGGCCAAGGTCAGAGGATTGCTTGAGCCTGGAAGGTTGAAGATGCAGTGATTCATGATTATACCACTGCACTCCAGCCTGGGCAACAGAGCAAGACCCTGTCTCAAGAAAAGAAAAGAATTTTATTTTTCTTTTCAGACAAAAATAGACTTTAAAATAATAATGGAAGAACAAATATGATGATCACAATTATCAGAGTAATTACTTTATGACAGTCAGCAATAAGATTCTAATCTTTAAATATTCCTCTGCTTAAATCATTATATTGGAGTTTTGATCTATAATATATTCCCACCCTGACCCAAAAATTGAAGAAGGACAAGGAAAAATGTTGTTCCAAGAAACAAAGATGTAAGTAAAAAGGCATAAGGAAGGAAAAAAAACTTTTGAAGCAAAATGTGATTGAGGAGGATGAGCAGACCAATTATTTTTGGTTTGGTCAGCTTACATAATGATTATCGTTCTTTGGTTTCTCAGTTTCTAGTGGGCTTCATTGTTTGCTTCCCAGACCAGGATGAAGACACTCCAGTTTTTCTTCCTTTTCTGTTGCTGGAAAGCAATCTGCTGCAATAGCTGTGAGCTGACCAACATCACCATTGCAATAGAGAAAGAAGAATGTCGTTTCTGCATAAGCATCAACACCACTTGGTGTGCTGGCTACTGCTACACCAGGGTAGGTACCATGTTTTGCTGGAAGCAAGGGTGTTGAAGGTCTGTATTAGGCCGGTTTCATTAGTTTCTACTTTATCAATATTTTATGTATTCTAAGTAACAGCCATGAGTCCTTTAGCCAAGACTGTCTGTGTTGTGATTGGGGTTAATGACCACGATATCACTTAGATGTTTGGGCTTGGATTTGATTTGGGTAAATTTAGGAAAGCCTCAGATTTAATCTGATCAATTTGGTACTAGTCCAACTTTGCATCTACAGGGAAAAAGTATTTCTATGTTACGTTTTTACACATAGAGAGATAAACATGGAAACATACATATATTTAATCATAAAGGACCTATAATATTCTCATAAAGGCAATTTCTTTAACTGACACTACATCTTTGACACAAAATCACACCAAAATATGTCTCCAAGTCACATAAAAACATAGACAGCCACTTAAAAAAATTGTCTTCCTGGCCCTACTAAATACAAATGCCAAAAAACAGCCTGAGAACACAATCAATTCTTGCAGACTGTTAGAACAAAAATGAATCAGCAAACCCACTCCCTTCGTTATAGCATTGAGAAAACCAAGACATAGAGGCATCAGTTGCTAGTCTGTGTTTGCAGTTTCCTTGCATTAATACAAGTAGAGAAATAGTTTCCATGGTGCTTTCTTTTTTCTCTGCAGCACCCCTAATTATCTATGCAGAATTTCATTCTATAAACTAAAATTGAAAATGGCAACTTTTTAAATGAACGATACTTTATTTGACGGTAAATGAGTTTGATCAAACTCCATTTATTACACAATTTATTGCACCTTCTTGGGATATACATTTGGTAGGATGATATTAAAATAAACAGAAGCCCCAATTTCTCTACGCAGTATAAATAATTTTTCCACTGGAAAGTGCTACTACAAATAATTTCTACCTGGATTAAAAATTCTTATATGCAAACTGCATATCCTTTGAAACTAGGAACCCTGCAAAGTATACAGCTTTCAAGGGAGAAAAATGTCCACAAGGAGTTGGAATATTTAAAATCTTATGTTAGCCTTAGCAAACATGTTAACTTAAGCATTAAAATTTAAAATTATATATTTTTGACCTTTTATAAATACTCAGGGCAGTGTATTTTAAAATATTTTTTCTGAGACATTGGATATCTTTGTTTATGGTTTGTTATTAATACAGCTTTCAATTAAATATGAAAAGTCAACTTAAAATCCTGTCATGTTTTTCATCATTTTTCTATGCTAAAATTCAAAGTTCCTTTATATTTTGAAAAATAGTTAATATTTTGATATAGCCATAGGAAGTAAGAAAAGAAATTACTTGTATTTTCTGGAAGATTTCAAGAACAATTTAGAAATGTAAATAGCATATAGGTCATTTATGAGGTCATGTTTTAATGGGTAAATGTTAGAGCAAGCAGTATTCAATTTCTGTCTCATTTTGACTAAGCTAAATAGGAACTTCCACAATACCATAACCTAACTCTCTTCTTAAACTCCTCAGGATCTGGTGTATAAGGACCCAGCCAGGCCCAAAATCCAGAAAACATGTACCTTCAAGGAACTGGTATACGAAACAGTGAGAGTGCCCGGCTGTGCTCACCATGCAGATTCCTTGTATACATACCCAGTGGCCACCCAGTGTCACTGTGGCAAGTGTGACAGCGACAGCACTGATTGTACTGTGCGAGGCCTGGGGCCCAGCTACTGCTCCTTTGGTGAAATGAAAGAATAAAGATCAGTGGACATTTCAGGCCACATACCCTTGTCCTGAAGGACCAAGATATTCAAAAAGTCTGTGTGTGTGCAATGTGCCCAGGGGACAAACCACTGGATCAGGGGATTCAGACTCTACTGATCCCTGGTCTACTGGCAGAGGGAACTCTGGGAATTGAGAGTGCTGGGGGCCAGGACTCCATCATGATTCAGCTCTATATTCCTAGGTCTGATTTCATAAGGTTTATTCAGTCTTAACTCACAGACTTGTGCCTGGTTTCTTCTTTAAAAATCTTAGAAATCTTCTCAGGCAATGCCTCTCTCTTAGGGGGAAACATAAGCCTAGAAGGAGGAAGCAGTAATGGGAGTGAGTGAAAGAACTAACTGCAGCAGTCTTCTGGTAGACTCTTGGGCCCTCTAGAGCAAGGTCAGCATCTTCAGCATTGTAGCGTCAATGCCTAGCACTCTGCCTGGAACTTAGAAACACAACAATGACTTCTTTAGATCAGAAAGGTCAAGGGTAGAAAATACTGGAAGACGATGTTTGAGGTAAGCTGATGAGGCTGCCCGCAGCCACACCAGTCCCATGAAAGTTAGTGGCATCAGTTCCACCTCGCCTTTTCTCCAGCACATGGAGTATTGAGACATGATGTATCTTTCTGAATTGTTTGGTACAGATGGGGAGTAACAGAGCTCAAGATTTCCAAGCTATTACTACCAAGCCTGTTAGTTAAGGGCAAAGGCAAGAAATTGTAATTTGGGGCTGTGGAAATTAGCCTGCCTCTATTCATTACTTAAACAAATTGATCACATGCTACTAGGCTCCTGCAAAACTCCTTTTTGAGATAAAGGGAAAAAACCAAACTATCTCACCCTACCCTCCCTAGGATCCACTTCTTTGGAATGACAAAGGATTTGAAAGTAGGTTTGAAAGCAGTTTCAGCAATTTAATAAATATAATTAATTTGTCTACAAATATATTTGTATAAATAAATAGCTCCTTTAGAAAGAATTAGCCATGGGGGACGAGGGGAAACTGCTGTTTTCTAGGATCCTGTCTACATCAATCTTCTATTTTATCCATCCATGTTCTCCCAAATCTGTGCTTTCTTTCAACAGGTTATATATTAAAACTATTTCATGAGTTGATTTCTTTTAAACGTGTTAACTGTCTTAGTTATGCACTCAGTTTCACACTCATATTGTTTAACTAATTTATTTAAATCTTATTTTTTTAATAAAGATGCTAGCCACCAGAGTCACAGGCTTGGATTGTTTTATGTACAAACAGATGACTTAGATATTCTGTATTTTATAATATTAGTGGAATGAAATCTTAAAATATAATTCCCAGTGTTTCTATAAATATTACCTTTCCTTATCTTTGGAGATATTAAAAATAATTTTGTTGGATTTCTGAAGTGTTTTGTCACTTAAATTTCCTGTCATTTTTTGAAGACATTTTCTGATGTAATTTGGGAGAAAAAAAGCATAGAGAGAATCACAGAATGGGTGGAGATACTAGAGTTTCTATAGTTTACTTCTTGAATTTTTGAGATGGAAAAATTAAAGCCCAGTGATATTAAGTGGCCCACCCAAGATCACTGTCCTAGTCCTTTTGGGCTGCTATGACAGAATACCTTAGACTGGGTAATTAATAAACAACAGAAATTTATTGCTCACAGTCTGTAGGCTGGGAGGTCCAAGATCAAGGTGCCAGCGGATTTCTTGTCTGGGGAGGGAGGGCCTGCTCCCTACTTCAATGCTGGTGACTTTTTGCTGCATCCTCATACAGTGGAAACAACGGAAAGCTCCCTCAAGTCTCTTTTATAAGAGCACTAATCTCATACATAAGAGGTCCATTTTCATGATCTAATCACCTCCTAAGGCCCAACTTCTTAATACCACCACAATAAAGATCAGGGTTCAACATGAATCTTGGAGCAACATAAACGTTCAGACCACAGCAATCACAAAGACTGTTTGTGGCAGAGCCAGGATTAGAATCCTAGCCTCCTTGCTCTTAATCCGGCTCTCCTTTGACTACTCCACCATAATAAGAAGTCATTTTGGTAAAGATTGAAGCAAAACTACAGATATTATTATAATAATCATCTCTGTCCCTTCTAATCTGGTATTGGGTGTGGCTTATAGCAATGCATTGAAATTAGGGCTATATTAACAATGTTGAATAAGATGCTTTAAATTATAGCCTTTTCCTTCTTCCTGTAGTTTTGCAGACCAAAATAATAAACCTTTACATTAGGGAGAGTAAAGGACAATGGCTTCAGATTTATGTTGTCTCAATCATCTTAAGCAGATGTGTCATCTCGAACAAGTTACTTAAATTCTCTGGACCTCAGTTTCCTCAACTGTATAATGGGGATAATAATATTTCCTGCTTTAGAGAGTTGTGTTCATGATTAATGAAATAACAGATAAAAGGGCTTAGAGCAGTACTTGGCACATAGTAATTCCTCAATAAATATTAGTTGATGGTTGTCCCTTGAGAGAGACAATGCAGTAAAATGGTAAAGTCAGATTTAAGTTAAGGACAACCCAGCTCATACTCTTT
Organism: Homo sapiens; assembly: GCF_000001405.40. NCBI lineage: Eukaryota > Metazoa > Chordata > Mammalia > Primates > Hominidae > Homo > Homo sapiens. The sequence continues at coordinate 30,236,357 of NC_000011.10, forward strand.
CTGGTCTGAGCAAACTAGTTAACCCCTTTGGGTCTCACCTTTCTCACTTTTAAAATGGAGTAAAAATGGTAACTATCTCACATAGTTGCTGGCAGATTTAAAAATATAATGCAGTTAAAGCACTTCAGAGGCCAACAGAGCTATAATCCTGCTGGAGAGAGTCCCCTTTACCACTTAGTTCAAATGGCCAAGGTCAAAATGCGAGTAAAAAGCAGAAGTTTCTTCTTACGGCACTCCCATGCCAAATAGGAGTACACTCCTTTCTGGAGCAGCAACAAAAACCTGTGAACCCTCCAGGTGGAGGCCAAGAAAAGGTCCATCTCCATGGGCTGTCATTTTAGTTGAAGTCTGATAATCCCTTCTCAGCACTATGGTGGACATCTCTTGGCTCTGGGCAGTCCTCGCATGACTTTAAGAATTGTATGTCTAGGCCGGGTGTGGTGGCTCATGCCTGTATTTCCAGCACTTTGGGAGGTCAAGGCAGGCAGATCACCAGGTCAGGAGTTCGAGACCAGCCTGACCAACATGGTGAAACCCCATCTCTACTAAAAATACAAAAATTAGCTGGGCATTGTGGTGCATGCCTGTAATCCCAGCTACTCAGGAGGCTAAGGCAGGAGAATCACTTGAACCCGGGAGGCAGAGGTTGCAATGAGCCGAGATCGCGCCATTGCACTCCAGCCTGGGCAACACAGCGAGACTCAGTCTCAAAAAAAAAAAAAAAATTGTGTCTAAACCACAACTTTGACCATGCCAATTAATTAATGAGCTTTCCAATTGTTTTCAGGAAAAAAAATCTTAATTCTTAGCTGAAACATGAGGCCTATCATGGTCTGACCTCTGATTATTTAACTTCTTACCTCTTCCGCTCCCCACAAGGGTTGCTGAATCTAGAGATTAGTTTTGAGGATTGAAGGATTGGGGGCCTTCCATTCCTGAAATGCTTTAACTAAAATACCATGCCATTCATCCCATGAGATATTTGGTGGACTATAATTGAAAACTGGTCAGTAAGTCAGCAGCACTTGAATCATAAAAATGTGAGGCCAGTACATAAGAATAATAAACACTGAGTTCATGGTAGTGAGGAAGGTGAAGGAGAAATGGAACTGTGGAAAAGTACCCAGAGAGCCTCAAACTGTATTTATAATGTTCTATTTCTTACAAATATGATATAATGTTAATATATAAAAAACTAGGAGACTGCTGTACAGGTGTTTACTATATTCCTGTAGGCATGTTCAGTGTTTACTAGTTGACAACTAACATGGCATCTTTTTATGCACTGTACATTTAATTTAGATTTTATGCCTAATATAAGAAAAGTGAAATGGGCCCGGAGCCTAGTCTGAAGTCACACAGCTAGTGTGCAAAGCCTCAATCATTAGTATGCATTTAGTGACAGAGGTAGAGAATTCAAATCTACTTACGAAGATATGTGCCTATGTCTTCCTGGGTATAAAGCTGGACAACATTTTCCCACCTTCTTTGCAATCAAGTGTATCTGTGTGCCAGCTAATGGAATGTGGGCAGAAGTACTGCACATATTTTCACACACAGCCCATAAAAACCTCTCATAAGTGATCATCTATTCTCTTCCTCTATTTGCTGGATGTCAATCCTGAAGGTGACTAGGAAAGTTTGTGTTGATGAAAACAGAACCATTGTCAACCTGGATCCCCGAATGTCTGCATGGAGCAGTGTGCCCAATATCAACAACCCCTTATAGCAGGCTGTGTGGATGCTATGCATCAACACCGTAAACTTCTAGTCACTGACATTTGTGAGTTTATTCGTTTTAAAAAATGCATTATTTTAACTTACAAATATTGGTACTGGAAGTGGCGTGTTGCATTAATGAAAACCTTAGCACATATGGCATTGGCTTAGTGGTTGTACAATAGGAGAAAAGAAAGTAGTAATCATAGTGGCAACCAAAATGAGTGATTGAAAGGCACGTCTCAGTCACCAAGGTTTATTGTGCCAGTTTGAGGATGCATCCAGGAAAAACTCAAGTAACAGACACATCTGTGGCTGTTTTTCCAAAGAGGTTCTCGGAGGTTTAATATTTATACATTTTCTTTTACAAAGGTAGAGGAGTCGGTGCGGCAATGAGACAAATGATTACATACTTGTGAGATTTTAGTTAGTACTCGGTAAATCTACATTTTATGTAAGATAAGGTGAACAAAGTAAATAGGAATGGAGGAAGCAGACATCTCAGCGTAGAGTGAAGGAATGATTACTCTCATCTTCTCTTTGTTCTGTACCTGGGAAAATAAACTAGTAGATATTATCAGAGTGGACTTTTTTTGAAAAAGCTGGTGTCTAGTTAGCTCTTAGGGAAGAAAGCCTAAGAGCTTGGAGGGAATATCATGAAGCCTTTCGGACCTCCCATCCCATCATGCCATGAACTTAGCTTCCAAGTTTTCTATGGGGTCCCCTTGGCCAAGAGAAGAATCTGTTCTGTCAGTTAGTGGTTTAGAATGTTATTATTTCTCAAGAGTACAACTTTCGGCTGGACATGGGGGCTCATGCCTATAATCCCAGCGCTTTGGGAGGCCAAGGTGGGCAGATCACCTGAGGCCAGGAGTTCGAGACAAGCCTGGCCAACATGGTGAAACCCCATCTCTGCAAAAAATATAAAAAATTAGCCAGGTGTGGTGGTGCGTGCCTGAGGCCTAAGAATTGCTTGAAACCAGGATGCAGAGGTTGCAATGAGCTAAGATGACACAACTGCACTTCAGCCTCAGGGACAAAGTGAGACTCACAAAAAAAAAAAAAAAAAAAAAAAGAGTACAACTTTCACCTGGGAAAACATGAAGGCTGGCCACATGCCTATTCAGTCCTTAGCTTTATGGCAGGGTCAGCAAATTATGCCCTGAAGGCCAAATCTGGCCCATCACCTTTTTTTTTAAACAAAGCTTATTGGAACACAGCCACCCTAATTTTTTACGTATTGTCTATGATTGCTTTTGTACTACAAAAGCAGAATTCAAAGACCATATGGCCCACAATGTAAATAAAATATAATTTGAAACTTTACAGAAAAATTTGCCAGCCTCTGCTCTAAGGGAAAGGCTTACAAAGAACCGGAACGTAAAGGGAGTTGGCTTTTCCTTTCTAGATATTAAAGAGATAGCTTTTTTGCAAAATGGAATGGAGAAAGTCCAGAAATTTTTGCCTCAATTGTATGTAAATGTCTATTGCTTCCTCATCCCAAATAGTAAGTGATAAGATGGATTTGAAAAACAAATACATAGTAAGACATAAGATGGATTTGAAAAACAAATGAATACTAAGAGATAAGACGGATTTGAAAAACAAATAAATAGTAAGAGATAAGATGGATTTGAAAAACAAAGGCTCATTAAAACTCGGTTCTGAGGTAAAGACAGATTTAGGGTATGGTCTTCCCATCTAGATCTTCTATCTCAGGTACTATCATGGTAGAACTACTAAGTTGTAAGGAAGCAAAAAAAAAAATCAAGATTGATAATTATGAATAAGAAAAAACTTTTAACATGTTTATAGGCACTAGAAACTAAATGGAAATATCTGAAGGAGCTGATTGTCAAAGAAACTAGGAGACCAGACTAAAAATGCCTTTCTTTGAACAACCTTTGGGCTCCTAAACTTGATGAGGAGAAAATAGACTACGAAACCTGTACAAGACCAAGGAGGATGACTCTCCAACATCCACTTTGAATGTGGTCATGGAAGGTAATGGATAAGGAAGAACTTTCCAGATGATAGAGCCAGGAGCCATGGAGAACAATGGACAAGGGAAGAATGTTGCCCCTAGTGAGAAGCAGCAGCATCTAATCCAGGAACTTCCTCCACTGGCCTGGCAAAAGGATTTCATAAAGTTTGCCCAGTAGGGTTTCATCATTGCTTAATCCAGTGAGCTGTGTCTCCCATTCTTTCTTCTTACGAATAGAAGTATTATTGTGAACGGAGTTATTGCGCAAAGTGTCCGTACTTCATCCCTGAATACCGGGGGGAAAGGGACAAGGAAGATAACAAGTCTTTTTTGTCCACAGGTTGAGTTGCCAGCTCATGAGAAGCCACATTTGGACATTATAAAGAAAACTGTGTATCATCCGGGTATTAAGGGCCTGGAATTGGACTAAAGAAGGGGAGGAGGTGGTTCCAGATGACAGAGAAAGATGAAACTGATATTTGTTCTCAGAAGGTTGGACTGTGACAGAGATTGTTACGTGTTCACAGAAACCTTCTCTATTTTTCCTGGGGACATAGTTTGCAGCCCCACTTGTAGAAAGGTATATTTATGTCACCAAGTTCTACCAATAACCAAGGTTATCAGAAATGATGTGTGCTACTTCTAGGTCTGGCTCATAAATCCTCTGACAGGTAAATCGTACTCTCTTCTACTCTCAGGTGACTGAGTACTAATGATTAAAGCAACCTTGGAAGCCATGCACAGAGAGCAGCAGAGGCTCTACAGCCTAAATCTCAGAATGCCCAGAGGACTCAAACATGCCTAAACACCTGTTCCCTCTGAAAGAACTTTGTATGAACAAGAAACAAATTTCTCTTGTGTTAAGTCACTGAGACTTGGGGGTTTATTTGTTACAGCAGGTAATATTACCTTAACTATTGTAGGGATCCACAGTACTTAAGGAGCTTAAATATAATGTTTCAGATCAACTCACATGAACCAAGTATAAAATTAGTTATCTAATAATGTATACATATATACCCAGATCACAATCTTCTGTTAAAATACGCAAAACAGCTTTGTTATTTAGTACTTTAAGTTTTTGCCTGGAGGAGTGTGTGTGTGTGTGTGTGTGTGAGAGAGAGAGAGAGAGAGAGAGAGAGAGAGAGAGAGAGAGAGAGAGAATTTCCCTAAATAAAATTTCCTCCTTCTTTCTGTCTGAAAGTGGCTCAGGGAATCACTGACTACTATTTCATATGAAATACTCAACACAAAAAGGCAAGCTAGTGCCTCCTACTGGTCCCGCTGATAAAGTACATATCCTTGAGACAGTGTATCACAGAGCTGTTAAGTGGGGAATCCAGGATCAGGGAGTTCTCATGACTTTAGAGCCTGTGTACCATCTACCATACTCCAACATTCTTTACAAGCATTATCATGAGGGTATTTCAGCGGTCCATGTAGATTACTTGGTAATGTTGGGCTGGGACTTAAAATTTGACCCTCAGTTTACTAATAAGGTTTTAAAGAAGCCAGACACTCATATCACACCAGGATAAAATGCTACCTTTCCAAACGAGATTACTTCAAAGCCTTAATGCATCTGGGGAAACAGAGGGTAACCCTGGGGGATATGTAATATTGACTAGACCAAATGCCAGAGATTAGGAGCAGGGAGAGAGTAGTGAAAGTACAGAGGAGACAGGAAACAATTAAAGTTATTAAACAATAATTCTTCAAGGAATCCCTTACATGGAGTATATTTATTTCCACCTTAAACATAATTTTCCAAAATCTAAAGCAAAAGACCTTTTTACTCCATTAGCATTTCTTTCTCGATTTCCAATAAAAAAGATCAGCTGAAAAGATCAGCCAGTAACATCTACAATAATAAAACAATCTCAGCCACCTTTAAGCAATGTACATAATAATCATATTTAAAGTCTATATATAGAAGGTGGTCTGCTTGTCCATGTGAAGACACAGGTATTTAGACAATCAATCCAGATTAAATTATTAAAGTAATAAATAACAATTGAGAACCAACTGAAATAATAGTAGGTGCTAAACAGTAGCAGCACTTAGAAAGTCAACTGCCCTTAAAATAAGCAGAAAACCAAAAGCCCATCACACAGCAGCTGAGATCTGAGTGAATTTTGAGGGTAAAATTGTGTGGGGTATGCAATGAAATCAGTGCCACCAAGTCAAGTTTATGGCAATCTTCTAATCAGAGGCTTTATTGGCAAAGGAAAGGAAGATTCTTTACATGAAAGGAAGGTTCTATTGTAATGATGTCCATGGAATTGGAACTAAAACTAAAATAGCTAAAGGACCAAAATGGTCATTCTTGCTTTAAGGGTTCCCAAGTCTCCTTCCTAACATTTCTCTTTCTCCCTGCACAGCAGTTCCAATCTCCACAGTATGGATGTGCTGTTAATTACAGGTGTCTTTCAACATAAGCACCCAGAATCAATCAGAACTTCTCTTTGAGTCTCTTAGCCTAAATTCCACTCCCCACCAAAAAAAAAAAAAAGGATTTGATTGATTCAAATGTTATCATTTCTCTTTGTGTAGAGTCTTTCACACAAGACCATGATGAAGGCCACTAGGTACCTGTGATGGTTAATATTGAGTGTCAACTTGATTGGATTGAAAGATGCAAAGTTTTGTTCCTGGTGTGTCTGTGAGGGTGTTGCCAAAGGAGATTAACATTTGAGTCAGTGGACTGGGAAAGGCAGACCCACCCTCAATTTGGGTGGGCATAATCTAATTGGCTGCCAGCGTGGCTAGAATAAAGCCGGCAGAAGAAGGTGGAAAGAGCTGACTTGCTGAGTCTTCTGGCCTTCATCTTTCTCCTGTGCTGGACGTTTCCTGCCCTTGAACATTGGACTCCAAGTTCTTCAGCATTTGGACTCTTGGTCTTACACTAGTGAGTATAAATGACTCTTGGACTTAACATCAGTGAGTCCACAGACTGAAGCCTGCACTGTCAGCTTCTCTACTTTTGAGGCTTTGGGACTCGGAGTGGCTCCCTTGCTCCCCAGCTTGCAGATGGCCTATTGTGGGACCTTACCTTGTGATCATATGAGTCAATACTCCTTAATAAACTCTGCTTCACTTACACATCTATCCTATTAGTTCTGTTCCCCTATAGAATCCTAACTAATACCCCAACAGTACACTTCTGGGTACCCTAATGATAGGCTGCCTTTGAAAGCAGGATACAACCATTGTCTCTTCAGTGACTTCCCAGGAGCAAAGAACAGCCTGATACTATTACTTTTTAGCAAAGGAGAGATTGAAAGACGGTTTAATCTAGAAAGAGAAGCTGACAATGACAGGCAGATTGATTTCCATATCTGAAACAAATATTTTTCTGAAGTCAGAACTAAGAATTTAGTGGCCTTGAAAAGCTCTAAGTAGTTTTTCTGTATTTGAAGAAAAAAGAAGTGATTCATCCTTTTGAAGATAGGCATATTGATCTGAATTCAGTCAATTTTGTGGGCATTGGCCCCAACATATACCTATTATTTGCCACTGTCATCAGTATGCTGAACAAACAGGACTCACAGAGTGAGATCCTAAAAGCAACTTTATTTTGCTCTCCCATTGTCCCTGTGAATTTGCTAAAAGGAAGCTGTCCTTCTCCTGCCACTGGATGGAAATCTATCAGGCTACATGGCCTGATGTATCAATGGTCACTTTGGGTAACAAAGTTTTCATTATCACTTCACAAGCACAATAGTAACCAAAAACCTTCAGTCTCTACTACATAAGCACAACAGTAACCAAAAACTGCCAGTCCCTACTAATAACAAAAGTTTCAATCAAACCTGAGTCAATATTAAACATATCCCATCCTTGGAGGAGTGGAGGTATAATTCTTTAACTCTCTCTCCCCATCTGGGATTTCTATTCCCTGTTCCTAGGTCACTGCTCCTTCTGGATTAGAATACAGAGTGGGAAAAGAGGAAGAGCCAAAGGAAATGGGTACATCCTCTCAGGACATGATAGCTGTTTGACAGTGACTCTTTTCTAAGCATGTGTCTGTGCTCTTTCAGAGGCACCTCTGCTGGGACCCTCCAACCATAATTCCATTGTCATGGGGAATGCATCTCTGGAGGCAGGCTTTCTTTATTTAACACTATATACCTCAAATCTCTGTAAAGAACTGTATTGAGCAGGAGCCTTTATTAAATAGACATTCCTAAGGTGAGGTTCCCATTCTGGCCCCAGAATTTTTGCCACATTGGCCCAATATTGGTGGGTGGAGAGGGTGGAGGGAGAGCAGTTGCTTTCTAGTTCCATTCCTCTACTTTGAAGCCACAGGAAGATTTAGATAACTTCTTCACTTTTAGCTTTCTCAGGCATGAGTCAGATATTAGTCACTGTATCTAACAATTCTAGGGACTGTTCATGAAGCTCTCTGAATGATCCCACTTAATCCTCCCTCCCTTGAATTCGAAATAAGGAGCACATACCTCTCCACCTTGCCTCCTTAGCAACAGGATATAGGGTGGGAAGTTTATACAACCTCCTCCAAAGCATTCCTCTTCATAAAATATTCTCATTTTCAAACACCCACATTTTTTTAAATCCCTTACTGACAGTGAGGCTCTCTGAGAATTTTTTGGCCATCTACTTTGAAATTCCTAAAGGATGGTCTGACTCACTTTGATATCTGAAATTTACTACATCTTGATGTCTTGAAACTTTGATTCTAACATCCTATTATACTGCCTAATACATTATAGGAAATCAATTGATCAAAAATGAAAAGAAACGTAATGCTTATGATTTTCATTTTTGCCCTATCTTTATTCCAGTGTTAGAAACTTCCTTCACCTGTACACTGACCTGCAGATCATTCTTGAGTTATCTATTCTTGATGGTCTCAAAAGAAATGTAGTGGGGGAGTTCTAGGACATGACACATGCAGGAAACTGAAATGGAAATGATATCCAGATAGACACAGTGCTGCTGCGAGATGACTGCTTCTCCACTGAAATGCAATTTCACTGTCTCCTAAATTACATTTTCCCCCACCAATTCACTTAATATGCACCTTCAGAATGCTGTCTCGGAATTTAATTTTCCTCTGGGCAAAATGTTACATTCTCATCTATCCTTGAGCATGTTTTATGCCCTTTTTTATTTTCTTAAATAAATGTTGGGACAAAGACAAATGAGCAGAAGCTGCAAGAAGGCGCATGGGCCAGTGAGTGAAAAAGGGAGAGAGACAAAGCCATTTTGGGAACTGTCTTACTTAACTCAGACTTTCATAACAAATACCATAGAACGGGTGGTTTAAGCAACAGAAATTTATTTTATCACTGCTCTGGAGGCTAGAAGTTCCAAATCAGGGTGCTGGCTAATTTGCTTCCCGGTAAAAGATCTTTTCCTAATTTGCCACCTTCTCTCTGTGTCTTCACATGGCAAGGAGATACAGAGATAGAGAGAGAGAGCAAGCTCTCTCTTGTCTCTTCTTATCAGGATACTAATACTTTCAGATCAAAGCCCCATCCTTATGACCTCATTTAACCTTAATTACCTCCATAAAGGCCCTATCTCCAAATACAGTCACATTGGGGGTTGTGGCTTCAAAACAGGAATTTTGAGAAGCACAAACATTCAGTTCACAGCAGGAATGATTATATAACCAGCTAGTTTAGCATTATTTTGCTCAATGTTGTGATAAGACTAGCAGTCTCTATAGCAGGAATGGCTAAATGCTCAGGCTCCATCGTGCTGCATTTCTTCTAGTGAATCACAAGCCATATCAGGGTTAACTTTAAGATTATGTAACCTGTGGCGGTAAGCAGGATAATGACCCACAAAGATATCTATGCTCTGAACACTGGAATCTGTGAATGTATTACCCTATATGGCAAAAGGGACTTGGCAGATATGATGACCTTGAGATGGAGAGATTATCCTGAATTATCCAAGTGGCTCCAATATTTTACAAGTGTCCTTAAAAGTGGAAGAGAGAGGCAGAAGAGTTGCATCACAGAGAAATGTGACTAAGAAAGAAGGTGAGAGATGCAATGTAAGAAGAAATTAACCTGCCATTGCTGGCTTTGAAGATGGAGAAAGAAAGCCACAAATCAAAGAATATGGGTAGCCTCTGGAAGTTGGAAAAGGAAATTGGTTCTCCTCTAAAGCATCCAGAAAGAAACACAACCTGATTGGTACCTTCATTTTAGCCCACTGAGGCCTTTATTGGACTTCTAATCTACAGAATAGCAAGATGATAAATTTGAGTTTCTTATAAGCTACCAAGTTTTTAATAATTTATAATAGCAACAATAGAAAACTGATACACATGTTAAAAGTTCTCACCCTCCTCCTCCTCAAAAAGTGGGTCTAACTCTTCCAGTCAAGATCCATAACCCAAATCTCAATTTACATGGGATTTACCTCCAGCTACACACCAGCACCACTAACTAAACTCATGATACATGGAACCTGAATCAGAGCAGTTTATGAGCTGTCTACACAATTCAGTCATAGCTTACAAAACAAATAGACTGGGGAAAGTGAAAACTTATTTGTTTTAAAAGCTAACGATGTTTTCAGGAGATAATTTATTGTTTGTTACTGATGCTAAGTCCTCTAGACTACAAGCATTTCTTGAGGATAGGGACCACTACTTGTTTGCAATTCCATCTTCAGAACCTAAGAGTTCAATGCTTCACACACAGTAGATGCTCAAAAATCACTAGTTGAATATATATATATATATATATATATTTGAGATGGAGTCTCGCTCTGTCACCCAGGCTGGAGTGCAGTGGCATGATCTCTGCTCACTGCAAGCTCCGCCTCCCGGGTTCACGCCATTCTCTTGCCTCAGCCTCCCAAGTAGCTGGGACTACAGGCACCTGCCACCAAGCCCGGCTAATTTTTTGTATTTTCAGTAGAGACGGGGTTTCACCGTGTTAGCAAGGATGGTCTCGATCTCTTGACCTTGTGATCCGCCCACCTCAGCCTCCCAAAGTGCTGGGATTACATGTGTGAGCCACTGGCGCCCAGCCTAGTTGAATATTAAAATAACTATCATAGACTCTAACTGGAATTTGACAGGATATGCCTTAAGGCACTTTATGATTTTTCACTCTTGACTTCATTTTACTATAAATAAAGCTATTGCATTTGTCAAAAAATTTTCAGTTTACAAGAACTAGAAACCCAAGCAAGTGAAGAAATTTGTAGGATGCATAATTAATAAGGGCCAGCATGGTGCCAGCTTTAAGAATTCCTAAGTTCAAAATAGTTCTTGCACTAGGTCTTCAGGATCTTCTCTCTTGTTTGAATAATGTTTCATGACTAAAATTTAAAATAGATATTAATAAACTGGGCAATCTTGATTATTCTATTTCATTCTAATGGCTTACTTTTCCTAAGAGAATGTCACTTGCTCACCCAGAGAAAACAACATTAAAATGTGTTTCCACCTACAAATCTGAAAGATCTCTCCAAAGATACACAAACAAAATAGAATTTGTCATATCCACACTTAAAGATATTCATTTCCCACACTTAAAGTCAGCAGATATAGAAAATTATTTTGTAAGATTGATCATTATAATATTGGATTGAATATTCCATGGGTGAAAGCATCTATCTTCTTTCCTCTCCTGTAGACTTTAGCAACAATGGAAACTATGCCAAATATAATACAGATGTTCTATCCTCTAACATCCTATAATGTAACAAGATAATTTACTAGTCACTGTGGGTATAACAAATGTATTTTCTGAACCAAGAGTTCAGAAACTATACCACTTGTATTAGTTCTCATGCTGCTAATAAAGATGTAACCAAGATGGAGTGATTTATAAAGAAAAAGAGTTTTAATGGACTCACAGTTCCACATGGCTGGGAAGGCCTCACAATCATGGTGGAAGGCAAAGGAGGAGAAAGACACATCTTATATGGCAGTAGGCAAGAGAGAACTTGTATAGGGAAACTCCCCTCTGTAAAACCATTGGATCTTGTGAGACTTATTCACTACCATGAGAACAGCAAAGGAAAGACCTGCCCCCATGATTCAATTACCTCCCACCGGGTCCCTCCCACAACACGTGGGAATTATGGGAGCTACAATTCAAGATGAGATTTGGGTGGGAATACAGCCAAACCATATCATCACTTTAGCCATTGCCTCCAATGTCAGCATAATTGTCTATTCTTTGCTTTAAATTTAGAACAGAAATTACATCTCTTTGCAACTATTAAGACAGTTCATCTCTCTCTGCAACTATTAAGACAGTTCATCTTACTAAAGAATTACAGTATTACTTCAATTATGAAATCCAGTTTGCTAAATCTATCTTATACATTACAGTGTTGAAATTCTGGGACAGGTTGATGGTTAGTGGAACAATGTGGTAGAACACTTAAAATTAGAACTGGACAGAAAGCCTGGAATATAAGGTCATTTTTATCAAGAAGAAGAGTTGAAGGAATGAAGGAGAAAGCAGATGAAGTATGAGGCTTCCCTCTGACGCATGAAGAAGTTTATATAGAAGGGTGAGTAAAATAACACTTAACCAGAGGAAATAAAGAGTAGAAAACAAAGTACAATCAAATGTTAGGTTTATAGTATAGATGATGAAAGTTACAGAAGAAAGGAGAAATACTCATTAATTTCAAATATTTGATATTAACTTCTACTTAAGTTCCTAGTGATGTTATGTTTTCTCTTTTCATAGCCATTCATCTGAGCATTCTGGCCAACTCAGTAACTGGGCTTCTTGTTAAATACTAATAACCTGACCCTTTATCTCCCTTTTTCCAAATGACAACCTGTGAGAATAGACTTTTCATTCTACTCATTTGTAACAGAACCATCTTAACAATGACTTCAGCAGATCCAAAAGTTAAATCTTTTAAGTGAAATGTATTTGCAAAAGAAATATGGTAACTGAAATATGTAGCCACTCATAATAATTCAGTATTTTATTAAATAATAATTTTTTCTTTTATTTTATTTATTACAATTATTTATTTTATTAAATAATTCTCACTTAAAATTGCAGTCATTGAAAAGCTACGATACACTAAAAACTACACTACGGACTGTGAAAGACGCTGAGGAGAATAAGGCAAATCTTACCTTCAGAGAATTTGTAATTTGGTAATTTAGCATATAAAATATCTCTTCCAGTCTGGACAAGATGGAATAAATCAATTTCTCTTTACTCCTCCCTTCTAAGCACAACTATAAAGCTGGAAAATAACATAAGAGATAATCAAAGGAGAACTCTATACGGTTGTAAAAAGAAAGTGAACTTATCTGAGGATCTTAGGACTGAAGTAATACAGCAGTGGGGCATTATACATCCATCCCTCTACCTAACAACAGAAGGCAAGCCAGACCCATATTTGCCAATTCCCAATGAAGTAGGCTCATTCCTCTCCATGATCAAACCATGGTCCCTCTGACAACATCAGGCAGGACCAACACCATCGAGTTGATCAGGAGCCCCTTTTGTTGTTTTCTGATTGAGAAAAAGTGGTCAAGGGAAGAATTCATCCCCACTCCTCCACCACCCCTTTCCATTTCACACAAGAGTGTATTTTAAAATGACCCAACTATATCTGTTTACAATAAAGCACTTTCAATCCAACAACATAGGCAAGCTGAAACTAAAAGGATGCTACATAGTATTCCATAAAACACTATGTTTTCATAAAATAAAAAAGCAGCCATGGCTACATAAATATGTGATAAAATAGACTTTAGAGCAAAGAAAATTAGTAGCGACAAATAGGGGGATGACATAATGACAAAATCACAATTAAGCTGAGTACACCAGCACCCCCTTCTCAGCATCTGAAAAACTACCAGAAATAAAAGCAGCAAGAATTTAAAAGATGTGAACAACACAATCAACTAAGAATTCCTAATGTACTTACATAGAACACTGCACCACCAACAACAAAATACACACTTTTTTCAAGTGCCCATGAAACATTCCTCAAGATAGAATATACACTGGAACATGAAGCAAGCCTCAGCAAATTTAAAAGAACTGAAATCACACAGAATGTGTTCTCTGACTATAATGGAGTCAAACAAAAAATCAATTTTTAAAGACAAGACTATAGGAAAATCTCTTAACATATGGAAACGAAACAGAAAACTTCTAAATAATCTATGGATCAAGGAGCAATTCTCAGAAAATTTTTAAAACTACATTGAACTGAATGAAAATGACAAGTACAACATTCCAAAATTAGCCTGGTCAACACAGGGGATCCTATCTCTACACAAAAATTAAAAAATTAGCCAGGTATGGTGGTGTAGGCCTGTAGTTCCAGCTACTGGGGAAGCTGAGGTGGGAGGATCACTTGAACCTGGGAGGTTGAGGCTTCAGTGAGCCATAATCACGCCACTGCACTCCAGCATGGGCAACAGAGAGAGACCCTGCCTCAAATAAATGAATAAACACATAAATAACATACCAAAATGTATGTGCTACAACTGAAGCAGTGCTAAAAGGGATATGTATATCACCAAATACTTACATCAGAAATGAGGAAAGGCCTCAAATCAATAACCTAAGTTCTTACCTCAAAATCACTAGAAAAAGAAGAGCAAAATAGGCCCCAAATAAAAACAAGATAACAAAAGTCAGAACAAAAATGATCAAAACTGAAAATAGAAAAAAAAAAATCAATGAAACAAAAAGCTGGTTCTTCAAAAAAATAAAATCTATAAATTGATCATCTCTAATAAGATTTTAAAAATAAATAGAGAAGATACAAATAAAAAAATTGAAATTAAATTGAGGTTGTGACTACAGACCCAGCAAACACTGAAAAGATAAGGAAATACAACAAACAGCTGTATGCTAAGATATTCAATAAAGTAAGAAAATTTGACCAATTCCCTGAAAGCTACAAACAACCAAAACTCAATAAAGATGAAATATGTAATATAGAGATCCTCATAACCATTAAAGAAATTGAATCTGTAACTTAAAAGCTCTCCCCCAAAATTTTCTAGGTCCAGATACTTTCACTGGAGAAGTCTATCAAAAATTTAGATAAAAATAGACTTTACACAATCTATTATAAAAATAGAATAAGAGAGAACACACACTAAACTCATTTTATTAAGCAAGTATACCAAATTAGACAAAAATAGGAAAAGAAAGAAAAAAAAACTACAAATCAATAATTCTCACCATCTTAGAAGGAAAAATCTTCAATAAATGTTAACAAACCAATTCCAAGCAATGTATAAATAGACTTATACACTATGACCAAGTGAGATTTATTTCAGGTACTCAAACTTGACTCAAAATTGAAAACCAGTGTAATCTATTACATCAACAGATTAAAAAACAGAAATTATATGGCCCTATCAATTAATGCAGAAAAGCATTTGATAAAATCCAGTAACTATTTATGCTAAAAAGGTAGCTACAGTAATCAAGAAAATGTGGTATTGGTAGAGAGATATAGATATATACTAATGGAACAAAATAGAAAACCAGGAAATAGACCCAGACAAATATGTTCAACCATTTTTTCACAAAAGTGCAAAAGCAATTTAATGGAGGAAGAGCCTTTTCAACCAATGGTACTGGGGCGATTAAACAATCACAAACAAAAGTAAAATGAATCTCCACCTAAACCTTACATTTATACAATAATTAACTCTAAATGAATAATGGAATTAAATATAAATAGTAATGGCATGAAACTTAAAAAAAAATTCAAGCAGTCAGATGTGGAGGTGCTCAATCAGGACAACTAGCCAAACTGAAAGTAACAATCCAACCTCTATTTACTTATAGTGACAGTGCAAGCAAGAGGCACTAGCTCCCTAATGTTCCATTTTTTTTCCTCTATTATTTCACTATGTGAGGGTCAGGTAGACACAGTACTTACAAAGGGAATTGTCTCACTGCTGAAAAACCCTAAACAAAAGATACTTGCCTCTCTATGGATTCACGGGCTGAGGAGATGGAAAGGGGAAAGGCTGGGAGTAGAAAGATACTGAAGCTAAGTGGAGAGAAGTATTTTAGCCAAGGCTCCCAATAAGGAGGTCTCAGCAGAGATGCCTGGGAAGTGCCTCAGCGTAGATCCTCAAAGAGGAGACCTCCCACTGGAGGTGCCCAGACTAGAAATGCAGATATGCATATAAATATGGTTGGCCCAGAAGGCCCTTGATTGCAACTTGCTCCAGAAAATTGCAATGCATTGGCTATATACAAAATCTGGTGTGGGGAGGTCAGCTTCTCCCCATGAAGCCTGCCAGGCTAAGCTTCGTAATTGCCTATAGTTGAATCTGAACAATCACGCCCATATCTGGATTCCTCAAAATATATGAGACAATCTTTAGGATCTAGAGATAGACGAAGATTTTTTAAATGATACCAAAAGCAAAAGCCATACAAGAAAAAATAGATAAATCATATGTCATTCAAATTAAAAATGTTTGTTCTGCAAAAGACACCATTAAGAGAATGAAAAGACAAGCTGGAGATCAGAAGAAAATATTTGCAAATCATCACTCTGACAAAGAACTTGTTTCTAAAATACAGAAAGAATACTCAAAACTCAACAATAAGAAAAAAACATGCACACGTATTTTTTTTCTTATTGTTGAGTTTTGAGTATTCTTTCTGTATTTTAGAAACAATTCTTTGTCAGAGTGATGATTTGCGAATATTTTCTTCTGATCTCCAGCTTGTCTTTTCATTCTCTTAATGGTGTCTTTTGCAGAACAAACATTTTTAATTTGAATGGCATGTGATTTATCTATTTTTTCTTGTATGGCTTTTGCGGCATTATTCACAATAGCAAAGACTTGGAACCAACCCAAATGTCCAACAATGATAGACTGGATTAAGAAAATGTGGCACATATACACCATGGAATACTATGCAGCCATAAAAAATGATGAGTTCATGTCCTTTGTAGGGACATGGATGAAATTGGAAATCATCATTCTCAGTAAACTATCGCAAGAACAAAAAACCAAACACCGCATATTCTCACTCATAGGTGGGAATTGAACAATGAGATCACATGGACACAGGAAGGAGAATATCACACTCTGGGGCCTGTGGTGGGGTTGGGGGAGCGGGGAGGGATAGCATTGGGAGATATACCTAATGCTAGATGACGAGTTAGTGGGTGCAGTGCACCAGCATGGCACATGTATACATATGTAACTAACCCGCACAATGTGCACATGTACCCTAAAACTTAAAGTATAAAAAATAAAAAATAAAAATTAAAAAAAGAAAAAAAACTAATAAAGAGAAAAAGCTATGAACAGACACTTTACATGAAGATACAGTTGGCAAATGAGCACTTGCAAAGATTTTTAATATCACTAGGTATCAAGGAAATGTAAATTAAAACTACAATGAGATATCACTACACATCTATCAGAATAGCTAAAATAAAAAATAATGAAAATGCCAAATGCTTATGAGCATTTGGTGGATCATTCATACATTGGTGGTGGTAATGTAAAATGGTAAAGCCACACTGAAAAACAATTGGCAATTTCTTATAAAAGTAAACATGCAATTATCATATTATCCAGCAATTATACTCATGGGCATTTATCTCAGATGTCTTTCAACAGGCAAATGTTAAACAAACTGAGGATATACATCCCTTGAATAACACATAGCAATAAAAATAACAGATTATCGACATATTCAACAACTTAGATAAATCTCCAGGGAATTATGCTGAATGAAATGGGTCAGTCCCCTAAAGTTGTACACTGTATGATTACATTGAAATAGCATTTTTGAAATGACAAAATTTTTGAAATGGAGAGTACATTAGTAGTAGGAGAGAAGGATGCTTGTAGTGTTAGAACTGATTAGTACCTTCACAGTGGTGGAAGACACATGAAAACTACACATTTGATAAAAATTGCACAGAACTAAACACGCATACACAAATATAAATGAGTGCAAGTGAAACTGGGGACATTTGAATAAGAAAGGCAGGTTGCATCTGTGTCCATATCCTGGTTGTGATATTATGCCACAGTTCTGCAAAATATTATCACTAGGGAAACAGGTAAAGTGTATAAAAGATCTCTCTGCATTATTTCTTACACCTGCATGTGAATCTATAATGCTCTCCATAAAAATCCCCAAAATATCATCAGTCTTTGCAACAAGGTACATATTTGTTCTTAAGCCAAATGTTTATCATAACCACTCTCAGTGCACTTCAGAAGCATAGACTCCTAGACATTAAAAGGCATTTATAGATTGATTATCCATAGATCATACTAACTTTTACCAAAATCGAGTTTCCCTTTCTTTAAGTTAAGCTTGGCCATAAGACTGGCTTTGATGAATAGAATATGTAAGGAAGTAGCTTGTGTCACTTCTGGGCAGAAGCTTTAAGAGTCAATGCATGCTTTGGCATCTTCTCAATTACCTTTGCTATGGCAACCATCAATGTTTCAGGAAGTGGCTGCTCTGTCAGCCTGAGTCCCAGAGTAAGGATGATAATGACTTGGGAACAGAGACCCCAGTTGACCCATGATGGTTATATAGTATAAGCAAGATATAAATGTTGATTGTTTCAAGCCCTGAAATTTGGAAGCTCTTCATTACTGCAGCATAATTTAACCTATCCCGTCTAATATAGTGCAACAAACTCTCATTTTATAGCCACTAAAATCAAGAGCAGGAAACTCTCATATTACAGCCACTAAAGCCAAGGATTATAGCTCATGCTACCTAGGAAGTTAATGATGGAGACATTACTATGACCTGCATAGCAAAAATCCCAGACTGCTGCCATTTTCCCATACACATTTTACCAGTGTGCTTCAGGCTATTTTGCTCATTAAGAATAAAACTAAAATACAAATAAAAGTTCTATACCAAATTTAATTATCAAATTAGTTTGCAGATTACTAAACCAAAAGTTGAAAGAACAGGTTTTTTAAAGTAGGCTGAATGAAATATTGGCATTTCTAATTTTATAATATAGTTCTGAATCAGCAGCCCATCATTCAAAGAAAAAAAGGGCACACGATTCACATGAGTCACACTGGAGAAATCCTTGATATTTTGAAAATTCAAATGTCAACAAGCCACATAATATGAGAAATGATAGTCACTGGCTCCATCCTTTTGAGCATTTCTACAAAATGAATCAAAATAAAATACCAACCCTGGAGGTTTATTAATCTACAAGATGTTTGAGCATTTCTGTAAAGAGATAACTTAATAATGGTCATTAATATTTGTGAAGTTAAAAGGGAGCTTGCAAAAATAAGCAGCATTTTTTTTCTGAGACAGGGATTGTTTTACCCAGCATGCTTTTTCATGAACATGCTAAGGACCTGAAAGATTTCCCATGGTATATGTTAAAATTTCAAATCTAATTTAAACAAACAAACAAAAAAAACAACACTTACAAGCTATGCCTATTACATAGATTATTTAAGAAAACAGCCCTCCATCCTTATTTGCTGCATGTCACACAGGAGAAAGAATTCATGCACTTCTCTGACTACATGACAGAACCTTTTAAAACCTGCCAGTCACTCAGTCAGTCAGCCATTCAGGTTTTATTGCAAATGTTCTGTTGGAAACAGTGAGCAGTTCATGAAACAAAAAAGATGTAGCTAAGATTTCCTTACGGAAAAACTTCACCTTGTCCCTGATTAACTATCCTATTTATTACTTCTCGAAACTACGAGTTTTTCCTCTGCAGTTTTAATTCTGATGTAAGTGTAATATGCTCACTGCAGATAATCTAGAAGGCTTAGACAAGAGAAAATGAAAGCAAAAAAGAGACAGAGAGAGAGAGAGAGACAGAGACAGAGAGACAGAGTTTTGCCATAGTCCCACTACTCCAAGTGAATACCAGCATAATTGTGGCAAATTTCCTTTGTCCTTTTTTTTCTGTGCCGTTTTAAAATACAGCTGAGATGATAACTCATTTATAATTCTGAATCCTTCTTGTGATCCAGTCGCCATGATGTCAAAAGTGTTCTCTCATATTATTAAAAACTCATTGTTAAAATCATTTTAATAGGCACCCAAAATTGAATTGTTTTGATAGACTGTCACCTATTTATTTATGCAATATTCCAACATAGAATATCTTGGTAACACAGAATATCTTGGTAATGTCTTCTTTTTTTTAATCACCATAATATATCTGAGTTTATTCAACCTTATTCCACATTTTTCATTATTGTTCTGATTTATCCTGGGTTCTAAAATGTATTTAATATGGTCCTTTCACTTCCATGCTGACCTGCTCCTTTCCTATAGCTGACTCTTCTCTAGATTGTCCTAAGAACCCTGAACAAGCTTCTTGCCACAGGTACATTTCAACTTCAGAATTCATCAAATACTTTCTGGTGCTCTCACTGGAACAGAGAGAGAGAGAGCACACATGAACAGTTCACATTCACAAAATAAATAAATATACAGATGATTACCTAAACAAAACAATCCCTCTTTATTTCTGAATATTTTCTAAACTTTTCAGTGATTTGAAGCTCATATTCATGTGTATTTTTAAAGGTAAATTATGTATGATAAAAATAAAAAAGCACTGGATTGAAATCAGATTCTTAATGCAATTCTACCTTTCTCATCTAAGTCACTATATTACATGAAGCCCATTTCCTCATTTGTAAAATAAGAAATTTAGATAGAGATCTCTGAGTTTTCTTCTAACTCTAACCTTCTCTGAGTGCAATTCTGGAACAGCTTCTGACTGTGCTCAGTTGTGTGACCTTAGGTATTAACCAGGCTTCAGAGGGGAAAACCAGAGCCACTCCTGTATTTCAGATAGGAAGGGTTTTAGTATGGGAATTCAAGCTTTTCCAAGGTTGGAAGAGTTGAGATGCAAAAGTCAGGAAAGCCACTACCAACTATGCCAGCCTGAAGCACCAGTGTGGATGGTTCTCAAGAGATGAAGCAAACACTGCTGCCAATCTGTCGAACCTCTAGAAAGCTCCTCACTCAAACTCTTCATTCTTCACCCAGGCAATGGGTGGTGATTGCAAGCATTCACTTAAAGCTATCATGAATCTCAAGAACCTCATGGACACCTCCACCAATCAGCTCAGTCTGCAGAATCAGTGTGACAATTCTCAAGATCACCTAGAAGCTGTTCGAGCCTCCAGTTGGCTCACACACCTGCTTGCAGCTGGTCCTGGAGCTTCTCTTTCTTTTCCACCTCCACAGATGCTCACTAAGGATCGTATGGCAAGGAGAATTCTGGGAAATGTAGTTCACACCTTTGAAAGCCTCCTAACTTCCTCTGGAAAATATTTATTAAGCAGATAGCTTAGTTTCTACTAAGGGCATAGTACTAAGCGCAGTACTGAAATAGGAATTCAACAGGACCAGTTTCCAAGACAATGGGTCACATAATCCTGCTGCTAAAATAGGAGACCCCATTGATAAGAGAGGATAAGTAAACAAACCAGCCTATGTCAGCTAAAACCAACATGGCAACTAAAACCAACATGGCAACTTCGCTCTGCTAATTACAACATATGCTAATTAAAACACTAGCACAAGCACCATGATAGTTTATAAATGCCACATGGCAATGTCCAGAAGTTACACTGTATGGTCAAGACTGGGGAGAAATCCCTGGTCCTGGGAGCTCCCTGCCCCATTCCCAGAAAACTTGTGAATAACCCACGCTTTGTTTAGAATATAATCAAGAAATGGCCATAAAATAGCCAGCTAGCAGCCCCCCACCTAGTGCTATTCTGCCTATGGGGTACCCGTGCTCTGCCTATGGAGCAGCCATCCTTTTATTCCTTTGCTTTGTAATAAACTTGCCTTTACTTTACTCTGTCAGCTCGCCCGTGAATTCTTCCCTGCATGAAGCCAAGAACCCATGTGGCCTCCAGGGGTGAACCTCAATTTTGGGATTCGCCTGCAATAGTACTATGAAAGGTACTAAGAAACATAACAGGCATGATCACTGCCCTCAAGAAACTCAAAACCAATTTGGTTTTGGGCTAGACACCCAGGATGTAGGGATCCCACATTTCTTTTAGTGCTACCCAGAACTCGTGCTTTTGAGTTACTGGATGTTACTTATAGGAAAAGGAGTAACAGGTGAAAATCAAGATAAACTCTCAGAGATTCCCTGCTGTGCCTGTCTCCTGCTTGAAGAAGCAGAAAGGAAAATGCTATGTGGAATCCCACAGTACAGAGACCATGAAACCTACAAAAGGGGACTCTTCAATTTGAGTTTTGAGAACAGAGACTAGTGCTTCTTTGTCATTCTCGTTCATTTTCCTTGCAATGTTGAAAATAATGTAAGATGTGTGAAAGTTTTCCAAAATCACTTCTGTGATTTATTTCTCAGGGACTTAACAAGTGATACTTTAGATACTCAGTGACTTCATGGCAGAGGGTCCTGGAAAAGCATGAAACTATATAAGGGCTGAATTATGCTGCCCTCACACCCTGTAAATTCATATGTTGAAGCCCTATCCTCCAGTACCTCAGAATGTAACTATAATTAGAGATAGGGCCTTTAAGGAGGTGATTAAGTTAAAATGAACTTATCTGAGTGGGCCCTAATTCAATCTGACTAGTGTTCTCACAAGAGAAGGAAAATTGAACACACAGAGGTGCCCCATAGGTACACACCCAGAAATAAAAGACCATGTGAGGACAGCAAGAGGCATCCACCTACAAGTAAAAGCAAAAACCTCAGAAGAAACCAAACCTACCCACACCTTGACCTTGGACTTCTAGCCTCCAGAACCGTGAGAAAATAAATATCTATTGTTTAAGCCACCCAGTCTATGGTATTTTGTCATGGAAGCAACCACAGGCATTTGCATGGGATTTGGAGCAGCAGCTGTGTTCATGGGTCTTGCAGCCTGAAAGAAGACTCCTTACAAGTAGGTTTTGGCCAATGATTAGCATAAATTAGTAGACTTCTATACTAGTTTTGCACCATATGTGGTCAAGTGCAGAGAAGAGAATATAAACTGGATGAAGACAAAGCCCTTAACCTATTTTATTGACTGCTGTATCCCCAGTGTAAGTGTACAGTTTTATTAGTTTTGAAAAACATAGTCATATAAAGCCATCATAATCATGAACATTTCTATCACCCCAAAAAGTTCCCTCATGCCTCTCTGCAGTTAATCTCCTTCCTAAGTCCCAGTCCTTGGCAACCACTGATCTGCTATCACTATAATATGCCTTTTCTACAATTTCCTATAAATGGGATCATACAGAGTACAGTCTTGGCTTCTTTTCATTTAGCATTTGATATTTATTCATGCTGCTTTGTGAATCAGTACTGCATTTCCTTTTTATTGTTGAGTAATATTTTCCTTATGGATATATCACAATTTTTTAATCCATTCACCAACTGATGGACATTTGAGTTATTTCTAATTCTGGGCCATTATAAATAATGTTTCTATTAGTGTTTGGGTACAAGTCTGTGTGTCTTTTCTTTCTTTACATTTTTTAAGAAAAAAAAATTGCCATCGATGATAGACCAGATAAAGAAAATGCAGTACATATATATATATACACGATGGAATACTATGCAGTCATAAAAATGAATGAGATCATGTCCTTTGCAGGGACATGTATGGAGCTGGAAGCCATTATCCTCAGCAAACTGATGCAGGAACAGAGAACCAAATACCGCATGTTATCACTTATAAGTGGGAGCTGAACAATGAGAACACATGGACACAGGGAGGGGAACAATGGACACTGGGGCCTGTCGAGGGGCGGGATTGGGGGAGGGAGAGTATTAGGAAAAATAGCTAATGCATGCTGGGCTTAATACCTAGGTGACGGGTTAATAGATGCAGCAAACCACCATAGCACACATTTACCTATGTAACAAACCTGCACATCCTGCATACGTACCCTGGAACTTAAAATTAAAATTAACATTAATTTTAAAAAGAGAAGTAGTATTTTGAATGCTCTGCAGCACTACATGGCAGAGGACCCTAGAAAAGCATGAAAGTGTATGGATCAGCTGAATTATGCCCGCTCCCTGCAAATGCATATGGTGAAGTCTATTTCCTAGTTACCTCAGAATGTGACTGTGTTTGGAGATAGGTCTTTAAAGAGGTGATCATGTAAAAATAAGTTTATATGGATGAGTGAATGCCTAGGAGAAGAATTGCTAGGAAGTATGTTAGAGTATGTTTAAATTGATAAGAAACAGGTAAACTGTTTTCTCAAGTTGCTGTACTATTTTACATTCCCTACAGCAATGTTCAAGGGTTCCAGTTACCCCTCATCCTCACCAATCCTTGTTACTGCAGCCTCTTTCATCGTAGTTGTCTATTGGTTGTGCAATGGCATCTTACTGCTGATGACTAATGATGTTCAGCCTGTTTTTCATATGCTTATTTGCCATTTGTGTATCTTTTGTGAAATATCTATCAAAATCTTAGCCCATTTTTAACTGAGTTGTTTTATTATTGAGTTGTAAAAGTCGTTTCTATATTCCGATATAACTTCTTTATCAGATAAAAATTTTGAAAATATTGCCTTCTGCCTATAGCTTTTTTTCCTATAGTTAACACTGTCTTTTGAAAAATACATTTTTAATTTTTATGGAGACCATATTGTCATTTTGTCTTTCATGGTTTATGTTTTTTGTGCCTTCTCTAAAAAATTGTTATCTAGCCCAAGATCACAAATACTTTTCCGACAGTTTTTTTCTAAAATTTATAGTATTAACTTTAATATTTATATTATACATTTAGCACATTTTCATATAAGTTATGAGGTATATTCTATACATTTAAGTATGTATCAATTTATTTCTTTTCATCTAGGTTTGATAATGATATAATTTTGATTTTTTAAAACTGTTTCCCTATCTTTTAGAAATCCATACGAAAAGTCTTAAAAATGAAATGATTACTGGAGGTGTGAGAGAGTAGGCACAAGTATAGTAGTTGTGGTAAAACAATGTTGACCACAAGTTGATAATTGCTGGAACTGAGAGATGGCTGTATGGGAGTATGCTGTACTAGCCTCTCACTTTAACATATTTGAAATTTTCTACAATAAAGTTTAAGAAAACATTTGTAACATGAAGAAACTAAGAGCTGAAGAAATATAATTGAGGATATTCATGGGTTTTAATTTATTCCTGGTGAGTCAGGCTTCAATTGAGTTATCTTATTAGAAAGAAAAAAAAAACAACCAAAACACACAAGGCACATCATGATTATGGTTTATGATCTTAAAATCCCAGATGTATTATTTACTAGCCTTATAACTCTACACAATTGCACTCTATGCAATTTGGTTAAAATGAGATTTGTGGTTATGCATTGTAAAGTCTTCACACTTGTGAAGATTAAAATTAGAAATAACAGCAAAATGTCTGACACATACAGGTTAATCTTATTTCTTCAATTTCATCCCTTATTCAAAGCCAAGCCAGCTACTGAGCATATGTTTCACATTTTAAAATGGATTTGAATAGGATTTAATAACATACTACTCTGATGGCCTATATTAGATGAGTGTAATATGAGTCAAAAGAGCATGCTTTTCAAGAAATCAAAACTCTTAACTTGGGTTTTGTTTATTTGCCTTAGAAAAACTCTGGTGCAGTCAGTGCTTACATTCTGAGCTCTTACTGTACAATTTCAGCAGCAGCATCTAATAGAAGTATTGAAAAAAATGATGCCTGCTTTATTTTTCTCCTGCAATAACAGTTTTATTAAAAATGAGAGAGGTAACCATTCCAAGAATTAATTTGATAATAAAAAGAAATATACATAATTTTCATTTCTTATAAGTAAATAGAAAATGCATAGTTACCTATTGGGCAACCTTTTACTATTTCTCATTTGTCTGTCATATCAACAGAAGAAAAAAAACACTAGTCCTGGGATCTGAGAGATATGAGTTCAATCTTGAGCTTTTTTCTTCCTGGCAAGCTTTGAAAGTCACTAAATCTCTTTTTTGCCACAATTTTCCCATCTGTCAACTGGAGTTTAACAACGAATGTTTACTGGATGCATACCATGTGCCAGGAACTCTTCTAGATGAATAAAACAGAAGTTCCCTACCAATGTACAGTTTACATTCTAGTGGTTAAATAACTTTCCTGGTCATACACTTACTAGGTGACAGAACCATGATTCAAAGACAGGTAGTCTTGGTATATAGAGTATATACTCCAAACCACTAAGTTATACCATGATTTGTGAAATTAATGAGATGATCTATGACAAATACCTAGATAGGATCTCAGTGAACACAGCAATTAAAATTACTTGTTTATTTTCTTTATAAAATCATCTTTACTGAGGCATAATTTACATAAAATAAAATGCATCAGTTTGTTAATTTTATGAGCTCAAAGTTGTTCCTAATATTACCTTGTTGTTATTTTCATATTTTAGTATCTGGTAATTGATAATTGGTATCTTTTTTTTTCTGAGCAGTCTAGCCAGATGGCCATAGATTTTGTTATTTTCCAAAAGACTAGCTTTTGGTACCACTGATTCTTCTGTATTGTTTTTTTCATTTTGTATTTTATCGTTTTCTATTCTTGTTTTTACAATTTTCTTCCCTTTACTTACTTTGGGTCTAATTCACTCTTTTTGCAGCTTCTTAAGGTGGAAGTTTAGATTATCAATGAAACCTCCTTTCTTTTCTAATGTAAGCAACTAAAGCTAAAAATTTCCCTCTAAACACAACTTTAGCTGCATTTCGCAAATTTCACTATGCTGTGTCTTTATTTTTAATCCCATTCATATAATTTCCTAATTTCCCTTGAAATTTGTTTTCAGGGCCCCCCCTCCTTCTCTTGTCATTCAGAATTTATTGATTACATTTTGGGTTTCATTTTATGTCCCCTATTGCATTTACTGACTATACATCTTTGTATTGTTTTAGAGATTGTGCTAGAGTTTATAATATACATCTTAAATTAACACAGTCTACCTTAAATACTATTATTTTATTTATAAAAATTTTACAATGGTATACTTTCATATCAACCTGCTATCCTTGCTTTCATACATTTTACTTTTATTTACATCATAAAACTGACAAAAAATTTATAATTTGTCTTTCACAGTTATCTTTTTTTAATTTTATTATTATTATACTTTAAGTTTTAGGGTACATGTGCACATTGTGCAGGTTTGTTATATATGTATACATGTGCCATGTTGATGTGCTGCACCCATTAACTCGTCATTTAGCATTAGGTATATCTCCTAATGCTATCCCTCCCCCCTCCCCCCACCCCACAACAGGCCCCAGTGTGTAATGTTCCCCTTCCTGTGTCCATGTGTTCTCATTGTTCAGTTCCCACCTACGAGTGAGAACATGCGGTGTTTGGTTTTCTGTCCTTGCGATAGTTTGCTGAGAATGATGGTTTCCAGTTTCATCCATGTCCCTTCAAAGGACATGAGCTCATCATTTTTTATGGCCGCATAGTATTCCATGGTGTATATGTGCCACATTTTCTTAATCCAGTCTATCATTGTTGGACATTTGGGTTGATTCCAAGTCTTTGCTATTGTGAATAGTGCCGCAATAAACATACGTGTGCATGCGTCTTCATAGCAGCATGATTTATAATCTTTTGGGTGTATACCCAGTAATGGGATGGCTGGGTCAAATGGTATTTCTAGTTCTAGATCCCTGAGGAATCACCACACTAACTTCCACAATGGTTGAACTAGTTTACAGTCCCACCAACAGTGTAAAAGTGTTCCTATTTCTCCACATCCTCTCCAGCACCTGTTGTTTCCTGACTTTTTAATGATTGCCATTCTAACTGGTGTGAGATGGTATCTCATTGTGGTTTTGATTTGCATTTCTCTGATGGCCAGTGATGACGAACATTTTTTCATGTGTCTGTTGGCTGCATAAATGTCTTCTTTTGAGAAGTGTCTGTTCATATCCTTCACCCACTTTTTGATGGGGTTGTTTGTTTTTTTCTTGTAAATTTGTTTGAGTTCACTATAGATTCTGGATATTAGCCCTTTGTCAGATGAGTAGGTTGCAAAAATTTTCTCCCATTCTGTAGGTTGCCTGTTCACTCTGATGGTAGTTTCTTTTGCTGTGCAGAAGCTCTTTAGTTTAGTTAGATCCCATTTGTCAATTTTGGATTTTCTTGCCATTGCTTTTGTTGTTTTAGATATGAAGTCCTTGCCCATGCCTATGTCCTGAATGCTATTGCCTAGGTTTTCTTCTAGGGTTTTTATGGTTTTAGGTCTAACATTTAAGTCTCTAATCCATCTTGAATTAATTTTTGTATAAGGTGTAAGGAAGGGATCCAGTTTCAGCTTTCTACATATGGCTAGTCAGTTTTCCCAGCACCATTTATTAAATAGGGAATCCTTTCCCCATTGCTTGTTTTTGTCAGGTTTGTCAAAGATCAGATAGTTGTAGATAAGCGGCATTATTTCTGAGGGATCTGTTCTGTTCCATTGGTCTATATCTCTATTTTGGTACCAGTACCATGCTGTTTTGGTTACTGTAGCCTTGTAGTATAGTTTGAAGTCAGGTAGTGTGATGCCTCCAGCTTTGTTCTTTTGGCTTAGGATTGACTTGGCAATGCGGGCTCTTTTTTTGGTTCCATATGAACTTTAAAGTATTTTTTTCCAACTCTGTGAAGAAAGTCATTGGCAGCTTGATGGGGATGGCATTGAATCTATAAATTACCTTGGGCAGTATGGCTGTTTTCACAATATTGATTTTTCCTATCCATGAGCATGGAATGCTCTTCCATTTGTTTGTATCCTCTTTTATTTCACTGAGCAGTGGTTTGTAGTTCTCCTTGAAGAGGTCCTTCACATCCCTTGTTTGTTGGATTCCTAGGTATGTTATTCTCTTTGAAGCAATTGTGAATGGGAGTTCACTCATTATTTGGCTCTCTGTTTGTCTGTTATTGATGTATAAGAATGCTTGTGATTTTTGTACATTGATTTTGTATCCTGAGACTTTGCTGAAGTTGCTTATCAGCTTGAGGAGATTTTGGGCTGAGACGATGGGGTTTTCTAGATATACAATCATGTCATCTGCAAACAGGAACAATTTGACTTCTTCTTTTCCTAATTGAATACCCTTTATTTCCTTCTCCTGCCTGATTGCCCTGGCCAGAACTTCCAACACTATGTTGAATAGGAGTGGTGAGAGAGGGCATCTCTGTCTTGTGCCAGTTTTCAAAGGGAATGCTTCCAGTTTTTGCACATTCAGTATGATATTGGCTGTGGGTTTGTCACAGATAGCTTATTATTTTGAGATACGTCCCATCAATACCTAATTTATTGAGAGTTTCTAGGATGAAGGTTGTTGAATTTTGTCAAAGGCCTTTTCTGCATCTATTGAGATAATCATGTGGTTTTTGTCTTTGGTTCTGTTTATATGATGGATTACATTTATTGATTTGTGTATGTTGAACCAGCCTTGCATCCCAGAGATGAAGCCCATTTGATCATGATGGATAAGCTTTTTGATGGGCTGCTGGATTCTGTTTGCCAGTATTTTATTGAGGATTTTTGCATTAATGTTCATCAAGGATATTGGTCTAAAATTCTCTTTTTTGGTTGTGTCTCTGCCAGGTTTTGGTATTAGGATGATGCTGGCCTCATAAAATGACTTAGGGAGGATTCCCTCTTTTTCTGTTGATTGGAATAGTTTCAGAAGGAATGGTACCAGCTCCTCTTTGTACCTCTGGTAGAATTCGGCTGTGAATCCATCTGGTCCTGGACTTTTTTTGGTTGGTAAGCTATTGATTATTGCCTCAATTTCAGAGCCTGTTATTGGTCTATTCAGAGATTCAACTTCTTCCCGGTTTAGTCTTGGGAGGATGTATGTGTTGAGGAATTTATCCATTTCTTCTAGATTTTCTAGTTTGTTTGCATACAGGTGTTTATAGTATTCTCTGATGGTAGTTTGTATTTCTGTGGGATTGGTGGTGATATCCCCTTTATCATTTTTCATTGCGTCTATTTGATTCTTCTGTCTTCTTTATTAGTCTTGCTAGCAGTCTATCAATTTTGTTGATCTTTTCAAAAAACCAGCTCCTGGATTCATTAATTTTTTGAAGGGTTTTTTGTGTCTCTATTTCCTTCAGTTCTGCTCTGATCTTAGTTAATTCTTGCCTTCTGCTAGCTTTTGAATGTGTTTGCTCTTGCTTTTGTAGCTCTTTTAATTGTGATGTTAAGGTGTCAATTTTAGATCTTTCCTGCCTTCTCTTGTGGGCATTTAGTGCTATAAATTTCCCTCTACACACTGCTTTGAATGTGTCCCAGAGATTCTGGTATGTTGTGTCTTTGTTCTCATTGGTTTCAAAGAACATCTTTATTTCTGCCTTCATTTCATTATTTACCCAGTAGTCATTCAGGAGCAGGTTGTTCAGTTTCCATGTAGTTGAGCGGTTTTGAGTTAGTTTCTTAATCCTGAGTTCTAATTTGATTGCACTGTGGTCTGAGAGACAGTTTGTTATAATTTCTGTTCTTTTACATTTGCTGAGGAGAGCTTTACTTCCAACTATGTGGTCAATTTTGGAGTAGGTGTGGTGTGGTGCTGAAAAGAATGTATATTCTGTTGATTTGGGGTGGAGAGTTCTATAGATGTCTCTTAGGTCAATTTGGTGCAGAGCTGAGTTCAATTCCTGGGTATCCTTGTTAACTTTCTGTCTCGTTGATCTGTCTAATGTTGACAGTGGGGTGTAAAGTCTCCCATTATTATTGTGTGGGAGTCTAAGTCTCTTTGTAGGTCACTCAGGACTTGCTTTATGAATCTGGGTGCTCCTGCATTGGGTGCATATATCTTTAGGATAGTTAGCTCTTCCTTTTGAATTGATCCCTTTACCATTATATAATGGCCTTCTTTATCTCTTTTAATCTTTGTTGGTTTAAAGTCTGTTTTATCAGAGACTAGGATTGCAACCCCTACATTTTTTTGTTTTCCATTTGCTTGGTAGATCTTCCTCCATCCCTTTATTTTGAGCCTATGTGTGTCTCTGCACGTGAGATGGGTTTCCTGAATACAGCACACTGATGGGTCTTGACTCTTTATCCAATTTGCCAGTCTGTGTCTTTTAATTGGAGCATTTAGCCCATTTACATTTAAAGTTAATATTGTTATGTGTGAATTTGATCCTGTCATTATGATGTTAGCTGGTTATTTTGCTTGATAGTTGATGCAGTTTCTTCCTAGCCTTTATGGTCTTTACAATTTGGCATGTTTTTGCAGTGGCTGGTACCAGTTGTTCCTTTCCATGTTTAGTGCTTCCTTCAGGAGCTCTTTTAGGGCAGGCCTGGTGGTGACAAAATCTCTCAGCATTTGCTTGTCTGTAAAGTATTTTATTTCTCCTTCACTTATGAAGCTTAGTTTGGCTGGATGTGAGATTCTGGGTTGAAAATTCTTTTCTTAAAGAATGTTGAATATTGGTCCCCACTCTCTTCTGGCTTGCAGAGTTTCTGCCGAGAGATCAGCTGTTAGTCTGATGGGCTTCCCTTTGTGGGTAACCTGACCTTCCTCTCTGGCTGCCCTTAACATTTTTTCCTTCATTTCAACTTTGGTGAATCTGACAATTATGTGTCTTGGACTTGCTCTTCTTGAGGAGTATCTTTGTGGAGTTCTCTGTATTTCCTGAATTTGAATGTTGGCCTGCCTTTCTAGATTGGGGAAGTTCTCCTGGATAATATCCTGCAGAGTGTTTTCCAACTTGGTTCCATTCTCCCCGTCACTTTCAGGTACACCAATCAGACGTAGATTTGGTCTTTTCACATAGTCCCATATTTCTTGGAGGCTTTGTTCATTTCTTTTTATTCTTTTTTCTCTAAATTTCTCTTCTCGCTTCATTTCATTCATTTCATCTTCCATCACTGATACACTTTCTTCCAGTTGATCTCCTCGGCTACTAAGGCTTCTGCATTCGTCACGTAGCTCTCATGCCTTGGTTTTCAGCTCCATCAGGTCCTTTAAGGACTTCTCTGCATTGGTTATCCTACTTATCCATTTGTCTAATTTTTTTTCAAAGCTTTTTACTTCTTTGCCATTGGTTCGAATTTCCTCCTGTAGCTCGGAGTAGTTTGATCGTCTGAAGCCTTCTTCTCTCAACTCGTCAAAGTCATTCTCCGTCCAGCTTTGTTCCATTGCTGGTGAGGAGCTGCATTCCTTTGGAGGAGGAGAGGCGCTCTGATATTTAGAGTTTCCAGTTTTTCTGCTGTTTTTTTCTCATCTTTGTGGTTTTATCTGCCTTTGGTCTTTCATGATGGTGATGTACAGACGGGTTTTTGGTGTGGATGTCCTTTCTGTTTGTTAGTTTTCCTTCTAACAGACAGGACCCTCAGCTGCAGGTCATTTGGAGTTTGCTAGAGGTCCACTCCAGAACCTGTTTGCCTGGGTATCAGCAGCAGTGGCTGCAGAACAGCGGATATTGGTGAACCGCAGATGCTGCTGCCTGATCGTTCCTCTGGAAGTTTTGTCTCAGAAAAGTACCCGGCCGTGTGAGGTGTCAGTCCGCTCCCACTGGGGAATGCCTCCCAGTTAGGCTACTCGGGGGTCAGCGACCCACTTGAGGAGGCAGTCTGCCCATTCTCAGATCTCGAGCTGCGTGCTGGGAGTACCACTACTCTCTTCAAAGCTGTCAGAGAGGGACATTTAAGTCTGCAGAGGTTACTGCTCTCTTTTTGTTTGTCTGTGCCCTGTCCCCAGAGGTGGAGCCTACAGAGGCAGGCAGGCCTCCTTGAGTTGCGGTGGGCTCCACCTAGTTGGAGCTTCCTGGCCGCTTTGTTTACCTAATCAAACAACTAACTGGGCAATGGCGGGCGCCCCTCCCCCAGCCTCACTGCCGCCTTGCGGTTTGATCTCGGACTGCTGTGCTAGCAATGAGCGAGACTCCGTGGGCATAGGACCCTCTGAGCCAGGTGTGGGATATAAACTTCTGGTGTGCCATTTTTTAAGCCCATTGGAAAAGCACAGTATTAGGGTGGGAGTGACCTGATTTTCCAGGTGCCATCTGTCACCGCTTTGACTAGGAAAGGGAATTCCCTGACCCCTTGCGCTTCCCAGGTGAGGTGATGCCTCGCCCTGCTTCGGCTCTCGCACGGTGTGCTGCACCCACTGTCCTGCACCTACTGTCTGGCACTCCCTAGTGAGATGAACCTGGTACCTCAGTTGGAAATGCAGAAATCACCCATCTTCTGTGTCGCTCACGCTGGGAACTGTAGACCGGAGCTGTTCCTATTCGGCCATCTTGGCTCCTCCCCCTAACAGTTATCTTTTAACAAAACTTAAATTAGAAAAAAATTTGATCTCTACTCTCTTATTTACCACTTCTAGCAGTCTTCATTCATTTTATATACATACAAATTTTCATCTGATAGTGTTTTCCCTCAATATTAAATTTTATAGTGTCTGGTGACACTATAAATTTTATAGTGTCTGGTGACAAATCTTCTGTTTATCTATTTAAAAAATCTTCATTTTGCCCTAATTTTCCAAATAATAAATATTACAGATATTGCATTTTTCTGCTGCGAGTTTTTTAATAGTTTATAATTCTCTTGTTATTTTCATGTATTTCATTATATCTTTAAACATTATTAATAATAGCTGTTTAAAAGTTTTGTACCATTTTAGTATATTTTACTGGATGTTGGCCATTACTAATTTTACATTTTGGAACACTGGATTTTGTTTCAGCCTTTAAACAGTGTTGGACCTGGTTCTGACAAGTGGTTAATTTATTTGCCAATAATTTTGATCTTTTCAAAGCTTCTTTTTCAGTTTGTTGTGGAAGGTCTTGAGTAGCCTTTACGATAGAACTAGTTTGGCCATACTTCTAAAGTATGACCTTTCTGAAGGGTCTACAGCAATGTCCTCGATGTTAAATGAGGACTCTCTGCTCTGGCCAGTCAAGATTTGAACATCTTTCAGCCCTGTGTAAGTAATGAGAACTTTCTCAGCATATTACCCAATTATCTTTCCCAGCCTCTTTGGTTTCCACTGTGTCAATCTGTGGATTTGTATTTAGCATCAGACTCAAGGGAACCCACCGATATGCAGATTTCTGGAGTTCTTTCTCTGACTAGCTCTTTCCTCTCCTGTAGTCCATCCTGCAAATCCTAGCTGCCCCATTTCTTCACACTGTGATCTCTGTGTTCTCAAATCAGTGTTCATCCTGGCAGAAAATGATGTTTCTCTGGCAGAAAACCAAAGTGATTTTAGGACTCACCCTATTTGTTTCCCTTCTAAGGGATGAGAGTTCTGGAATGTCTATTACCCAAAGTTCAAAAATATAATGTTCCATATATTTTATCCATCTAGTTGTTTAAAGTTGGAGGGCTAGGCTAGTCTCAATTATTCTGCCAAACCCAGAAGTCAAAATCCATCTCATTTTCTTTCTATATTGCAAAAACTATAGCCCCCAACCATCAAATGCCTCAAGAGAAACATCTTAGCAAAGGTGCAGAAGAATCATGTCTCTGGCACATACATTTCAGGAATTGATGCTGTAGAATCATGAGACAATCGTTCAGAGAAAGTTTAGGAGAAGAACAGCTGTTTTGGAATTCTTTGCTACCTGCTGGGAATCACAAGTGATTCATTGTTTTTTTCTGCTCCTAACTATTTTTGGCATAGGTCACTGAATCCAGGCCTTTTTTGTCAGTATTTTTTCTTCAGCTAGTAAAGCAAGTATATTCCACTGTTTGGCAGTTGGAACAAGCTGCTGATAGGCACTGTCACACTATCATTTGGTTTGCAACTTTGGTGATGGCACAAGGAAAAATCCCTCAACTAGGATAACCAGATGGAATACTCAAAGGCAGAGAAAACAGAGAAGACATAATGAACTAAAGATGAATTTATTCCCTCATTGTTTATGTTGTAGTGAAGAAATGCCATGAGAGGTGTTGGCAGAAGTTTGACATGAAAGAGCTGAGCATAATCACTTCATTCCTCTTGGCATAGGGCAGAGCAGTAGGCTGCTCTTGGAAAAGAAAGAGATGTTTCAGGGAAGAGCAACAAAAATAATCAGGCACTAAAAAAAAGAATCTGTGGGGAAAAAGGTTTATAAATTGGCATGGTTTATACTATAAAGAGCACTAAGGTGTCTTCACATTTGAATTAGGTTGCATTTATGGAGCACATTAAAGCCCTTTTACAATACACTGCCGTGTTATCTGATTTTATCATCATAATAACCTGTGAGCATAATGTATTATTTCTATTTTATAGAGACATAGACTAAGGAAAAGAGTTTAAGGGATTTCACTCCAGTCACAAAGCCAACTGATGGCAGAGACAAAAATAAAACATGGCTGTTCCAGTCCATTAGACAAGTGTATTCTTTTTTTTTTTTTTTTTTGAGGCAGAGCCTCGCTCTTGTCACCCAGGCTGGAGTGCAATGGCTTGATCTCGACTCACTGCAACCTCTGCCTCGCGGGTTCAAGCAATTCTCCTGCCTCAGTCTCCTAAGTAGCTGGGATTACGGGCACCCACCACCACACCCAGCTATTTGTTTAAATTTTTCGTAGAGATAGGGTTTCACCATTTTGGCCAGGCTGGCCTTGAACCCCTGACCTCAGGTGATCTGCCCTTGACGAGTGTATTCTAGCTAGTGATTCTTCATCTCAGTAAAGGATGCCACAAGAGAAAGTAGCTAAATAAATGGAATCAAAAGCATAACAGCATCACAAAAGAGTTTCTTGGCATTTTTTGGATTTCTAGGTAAAGATGGAAAAATGAATACACATGTTTACTTTCACTACCCATTCAAAATCTACTAAAATAGTGGAGAGATGTTTTTAAAGGACCAAATCCACAAAAAAAAAATAAAAAAACATAAGGAAACAAAAATAAATTTGGAGGAGATATAAAGCAGAAGAAAAATAAATAATATAGCAGATATAAGAAAACTGAATCCTTAGCTGGTAGCCATACACTCCAGGTCCCCAAAAGACTCAGAAATTGGTAGTATCTGTTATCATGAAAATGAGTGTAAAGGGGGAAAGGCTTCAAAAAGGGAATTATAGTAAGTCCTAGATCCCAACCTACTCTCTATAGCCAGGAAACTAGCAATGCTCTGCTCCAACAAAATACCTTTTTTGTTTTCTTTTTCTTTTTCTTTTTTCTTTTAATCCTTGAGAAAGGTAAAATAGAGGTACCTCCCTTCTTGACGGAAGTCACTGAGAACAATTATCCTCAAAAGACACCTTACTAAAAATAAAGATCTCTATCCCACTGGGCTCACCGAGGCTATCAGCTAGACTTCACCTTCCAAGAAGGAGACAGAAAATTTTTATTTGCAGAATCTCCCCAGCCCTAGAGGATATAAACATCAGCATTTCCTCATTCAAAAGGCCTAGTTAGAGCAACCTGCAAGGGAGCTCTCAGTTGACAAGCTACATCATGTTCATCATGTTCCTATATTTTTAATTAGCTTTTTAATTCCCCTTCTTAAAATCGAACAAAAAGTCACAGATTATACACATCTAAGGAAAGCTCCTAAATTAAAAGATGCAGGTGGAAGGGAGAGGGAGAGAGGAAGGAATGAGAGAGAGACTATGTAGAGAGAAGAACCCCACCACCACTACCCACTCACCCACACATAAACAAAAATCCCATCGTTGTGCTCAATCTCAACACTGTAACCTAGATAACACCGATAGAATCCTTTCTGAATTCCAAACAAAAATGATTTTCAACCTAGAATTCATTACCAAGCCACATTACTATTTAAAAGTGAAGAAAAAAATAAATATTTTTAAACATGCAAAATTGTTATAAAATTTGTCTTTTATGAGAATTAAATAGAAAAGACAAGAAAAATCAGAAACAGGCTATACAACACAGAGAAGAGGTAAAGGGCATCTCACAATGATTATGAACGATGGTCCCAGGTTGTCAGAGATATACCTAGCAGAAAAGGAACCAATCCAGTTCCTTAGGAATAAGTTAAAAGGATGTAGGAGAAACATCTTTAGGAAGGCAAAATAGAAAACTGAATATAAATTAATGCATTCAGAAGCATTCTAGACAGTTGGTGGATAGTCTGAGGTTGGATTAATTATAAGTACATAGAAAATTAAGCAAATAAAAGAAGACAAATGTAAAAATTATGTAGCAAAATAAAAGTAATCAGACTTTTCTACATGGTGCAGTTGTGATTAGGGAATACATTCAAAACATGCAAATGAGTATATTAAACCAAAGTTAAATCATCACCGTATTGGCAGAATGGGAAATAAAAAGGTTACATATATATAGCAAGGTAGGGAGAGGAAATAATTATATCTTTATTTTTCATAGAGAAAAATCCATAGCTTGGAAAATGAAAAAGTATCAATGAAAATATGTTATTTAGAGACACTCAGGAGGCACTGAAATAAATGTAACACCAGGTAGTCTGTATGTCTCCAGCTTTGCTGGGAAACATGGAGCCTACCCACCCTACACAACGTCAAAAAGACAACACAGTGTGTTTATTGAAAAGCCTAACCTACAGAGCTGAACAAATCTATATTCTAGTTCTGACCCCACCATCAATTGACTGTGATGCCATCGGCAAGTTCCTTAACCACTTTAAGCTGCTGTTTCCATTTATAAGATGAAAATATAATAATGTCTAAAACATTTTCAGGCACATAATTGGTACTCATACACATATTAAGTGTATATTAGTAAAGAGATAGTGCATATAATGTTTCTTACCTGATATATAATAAACATTAAATTAAAATTAGCTTTATGTTTAGAACTGGCCTGTTTATCAGCATGTTCTAAATCTAAGCCCTTCTCTTTTCTCATGGAGTTAATGGGGAAAATTAGTTATTGCACTGACTTTATTCTTAGAAACTTTGGAGGCATATTTGACTCCTGACATTCTTGACCAACCTCTTGCAACAATCAATCAATCACTATATTCTATCAATTCTTCCTTTATATCCTCTGCCACAATAGCTCCTTCCTCTTCTAAATACTTTTATTTTCTAGTACTTGTCTTCAACAAAATCTTCGTAAATGGTTTCACTGCCTCACATTATTTTCTCTTCAAATATAACCTCTATCTTTCTGTTAGAGTCATCTTTCTAAAAAGATAAATGTAATCATGTCACATTTGCACTAATACTTTCTAGAGCACCTCTTTACTTGTAGTAGGTAGCCCAAACTCTTCACAGCATGTCCACCAAGCCTCTATACAATCTAATCCAAATCTACCTTAATTTTGTCTCCTAATATTCTCAAGCTTTCTTCTGTCCAGCTAGCTTTCCTCCTCCATATTGCCCAGTCATATTCCGTTCTACAAGTCCATACCCATGCCATTCTCTTTCTCACTTTTGAGGCTTTGCACGTGCTACTGTCTCTGCCTGGAATGCTTTTCTTTCTTCCCTTTTTCACTTGGCAAACATGCTATACATTAGTTGATTGTTGGTCTCCCCAACTATACTGTAAATTCCTTAAAGTTTGCACTGTGTTATTTCTACATAGCCTGCCCAGCACCTAAGGCGGGCCTTTGCCCATAATAGGTGCTAAATAATTGCTTGTTGACTAAAGGAATGATAAAGTCCTATAATGAAAAATCACTCTTCTCTATTGTGTGGTTTCTGCCTGCCACTTCATACACAATAATTAAGGTGGTTGATTATTCATTCACTTTACAAAAAATCATATTCCTTTTTCAAATGGCGTAATCAAATTTGCAGGTTGCCTTATTTAATATTTAGTGTTTAAGATGTGGTAAATGTAAAGAAATCTAATTTACTTACTCTCTATAAATGGAGAAGAGCTTCCACTGTACCTTATTTCTATCTCCTCTAAAAATAATCCAACTGGTAAATGAAACATGCCTATTTTTACAAACATGAAATCTGCTTTTTAGGGCAATATTTTCTGTCTTTTCATTCTTTTCCTGGCTTTTTTTCCACCCACCCCACTCCCCGGAAAACTCACGTTAACAATGAGCATGTTTGCATTGCATTGTATTGCTATAACTCTATATATTTTTATCTCTAAATATTGAGATATATAGGTACATACCCATATGATATGGCTTTGTGTATATACAATAACTGTCTTTACATGCTTGTGTATGTCTTGCTTTTCTCACTCAAAGGAATATATCAAAAGTTCTCACACCTGGTATAAAAATTCATGTTGCATTGGCTGCATATGTCAACTCAGATTTTCCTGAAAGTTTCACCACCCTCTAAAGTTACCTTCTGGCCAGTGAGAATGAAACATGGTGAAACCTTCCTTACCAACCAAATGAAAGGCAAATCTATCATTCCAAATGGTGGGCAACTTCAGATCTCTGTTAGCCTTTGAGAGAAGAAAAATGTAAACGAACAAAATCTTAGCTGAATGTAATCAACTATGAAAGTCAGGTCAATGATTTATACAAAATGCTACTAGAAACATTTTTAAACTGCCTTAGAAATTTGCATTTTGATTCATTTATATTCCCTACAATGAAAATAGTACTGCAGTTTATAAGGTACCTTCAGGCATTTCATTTGTTAAAGTGATTTACAGTAAATTGGCTTATTCCAGCATAATAAAGAATAGTCTTTGCTACATGCCACTAAAATGAATTAATCAAGCAATTTAAAATTAAATTTGCACACCACAGTCTTGTTTCTTTACATATCTAAAATAATAGCATACCTCATCATTTAAAACCAGTAATATAATTTGTGCTTTACAGAAACCAACAACAAATTAAAAGCCAAACCTCTTTATTAGTTGCAACAGGAACAGCCAACAGTGTTTGAGAAATGAATATGGTTTTTCCTTCACTGTTACTATAGCACGTGAGATCTGGGAGCAAATGGAGCCTAGTGCAATCTCATGATTGGTTTAAAGGCTATAACACTTCAGGACAATGCAAATTGCTTCTCACATTAAAAAGACATTAAATCGTTCTGCAGTTTAGAAGAAAAGGCACACAACTGCTCTCAAATTTTAAAATACATTTCTGTGAAAAATCATCTCCGATTTGGAGGAACCCCTGAAGCTATTCTGATGTTCCTTTCCGTTTGTGTGGTAAATGATAGTAACCTTTCCCAGGTTTTCCAGGGTTGAGAAAGACAGTAGCCCTATAGCCTGAAAGTAAGTGATTAATCATGAGCTGTGTCACAGGCATATGCAGCAATGAAGATGGAAAAACTGAAAAACTGAGTGGCTTTGTGGAGGAGATGTAATCAACCCTTTATTAATTCTGCTAATGGAAAGAAGTCTTGTGGATAACACATCATTAATGCCAACAGAAAATCAGGCCTTGGTTTGCCACAAAAGTATAAATTGAAACTTGAAGATATGAAACACGTTTTCCCCCGAAGGAACTATGTTATCTTGGCAGTGGGTCTATAACTGAACCCAAACAATGCAGGAAAGAGTAATGCTTTAGAGTGTTAAAGAAGTTAGTGTAAGAACATTTCACAAGGAGAAACATACATTCCA
This sequence comes from Homo sapiens, assembly GCF_000001405.40. Classification (NCBI taxonomy): domain Eukaryota; kingdom Metazoa; phylum Chordata; class Mammalia; order Primates; family Hominidae; genus Homo; species Homo sapiens. The sequence continues at coordinate 30,276,482 of NC_000011.10, forward strand.
GGTACTTCTTTATAGAACAAGAAATATTTCTCCATGGGCTGCCCTGATGCCTCTTCCTCATCCTTAACATAGAGAAACTAAAAACTGCAAAGGTGAAAACTTAATGGTAGGAAAATAAAAATTCTTCTAGGTTTTCCCAAAGTCACTGAAAATAGATGGATCTGCCACAGAGCTTAAAGTAATCCAGTTTTATTAGGGCTTTTCTTTTACAGGTATACAGATGTGGCTGCACCACACACATACATGCCAAAACAGGGAGAACAGCCCTGCTATTCACCAGCCATTGCTGTCTAGCCTGGAAGCATGGATTCTCCCTCAAGCTTTCAGCAAATAATATTCAGCAAGCATTATGTCCTGGGCAACATGCCAGATACTGAGGACAGGCTGGTGACCAAAACAAACCATGACCAGTGACCATGGTCGCCACCCTCATGGAGTAAAGCACTCAGCAATTCTTAGCATATAATAGATGCGCAATAAATATACCTTTTGTTTTCTCTCCCCTCAGCTTCTTTAGATTGTTTACTCTTCTGTTAAACAAGATTAATGATATATACCTTAGAAGATTACCAAGATTAAGGATTCTAATAAGATATTTAAAAATATTTATTGACTCTGAAATCTCTGTGGGCTGAACAGCCACCTGCTAAAATATCAACTTTATAAAAGCAGGGTGTGGAGCTTAAGCGTTTACGGCAACATGCTTGCTGTCACTTTCTCTATAATGGAAAATGCAAATAAGAAACAAAATCAAACCTAGTACAAAATCCAAGGGGAAAAATAAGATTTTAGAAGGGGAAAAATAAGATTTTAGGATTTCACTGGTGATTGTCAATATTTAGGATGTGAAATGAAAGGGCATCAGATTCCCAAGGAAACTGTTCTAAGTTTAGTGCCAACACAGTAGAAGAGTCCAAAAGAGGTTGGTAACATGTCAAGTGAAACATATGCAGAATTTAAAAATGATACTTGATTATGCCAAATGAATTTTGAGAAGTGAGGAAGAAGATAGGAAAAATCCTAGTCAATAAATCAGATATCAATCCTACATAATTTTATGGGATCCTTCATCATTACCATATATTGACTGGTTTTATCCTTGTAGAAACAAGAATAAGATTTTTGACAACCTACATGAAAACATCCATTCCTCTAGAATTTCATCTGCATGATTTTGCTATTTCCTTTTCGAGGCCATATATATGGAAACTGAATTTCCCAGATTTCAACCACCTACCATTTTGAGTATATATGCCAGTTAGTTATATTCTAGAAGGTTCAGTACCTAGTTGAAATGAACCCATGTAGTTGTTATGTTTATGTGTGAAGAAACACAGATTAGAACAAGCAAAGGTTTTTTAGTGTCCTCTCTGTACAACAAATAAGTTCAACTGGAAAAAAGAACAAGTACCAAAAGCCAGGAATATTATGAAAAAGAAAATGAAAAAGGATAAGCTCACTCTGATAAATAGATATGGTAAGATGCTATATTAATTAGTTTTAGGGACTAAAGAAGAAGCATATGGATCAACAGAATGTAAGAGAGAATTCAAAAATTGATGCAAATCCATTTGATAAATGAGTATTTCAAGTAAGTAGTCAAAGGAATAGATTGTTCAATAAATAATGTTGAGGCAATTAGGTAACCAATTAGGAAGAAAATATATTAAGATCCCTACTTGGTTTGTAGCAATTAAATCATTTCCAGAGAGATCTAAGATTTAAACACTCAAAATATGAAATCATCAGTGTTCTCAAAGAAAGAAACAGTGAATGCATTCAAAAATCTGAGAACAGGAAAGGTAAAACACAATTCAGAAGTCACATGACTACATAAGAAATTGTTTATAAAAGGCCAGGTGCAGTGGCTCATGCCGGTACTTCCAGCACTTTGGGAGGCCAAGATGGGTGGATTGCTTGAGCCCAGAAGTTCAAGACCATCCTGGCCAACATAATGAAACCTCATCTCTACTAAATTTGCCAGACATGGTGGCATACACTTGTGATCCCAGCTACTCCGGAGGCTGAGGCATGAGAATCCCTTGAACCCGGGAGGAGGAGGTTGCAGTGAGCCGAGATTGTACCACTGCACTCCAGCCTGGGCAACAGAGCAAGACTCTGTCTCAAAAAAAAAAAAAGGAAAACAAAAACAAAAAAAATTGTTCATAAAAATTACAGTTAAGACTTGGAAACACATTTATAGTACACATTACACAAAAATTTTCTTTAACGTATTCACAAGTTATAAGAATCAAGGGTAAGATAAGTAAACTAATAAAGAATAAACAAAAATATGAACAGATAATTTATAGTAAAATAAAAATAATGGCCAATATTTTTGGCCAAAAAATAGGCTGAGGAAAAATTTTATATTCATAATTAAAGAAATATAAATGAAAATAAGATGTTAGTTTCACCCACTAACTAAAAGTTTTAAAAGGTTTTAAAGTTTAACAATGACTAATGCTGACACTGTTGCTAGATATGTAAATTTACACATTTTAGAGGCAATTTGTGATATCTTCCAACATTTAAAGTGTGTTTACCCTTTCCCCTCTCACCTCTCAATTAATTGCAAGGAATTTACCTACATCCACACTTGCAAAAATTCATCCAGATAGATGTACAGGATATTTATTGGAGCTAAAAATGAAAACAACAAACGCTTTTTCAACACTCTAGTTCTTATTAAATAAAATATGACATCTCCAGACTATGGAATACTATGTAGTCCATGATACAAGGGGAAAGATCTATATTAGCTAATAACGGAAGGATGGCCAAGCCATATTACTGAGTTGCAAAATCAAGAGCAGAATAATGTGTAAGTATACTCTTTTTGTGTGAATGAAAAAATAGAAATATTTTATATACAGACAATGAACACATAATTTCTTTTCTGGAAGGAAACATGAGAAACTAATATGGTAGGTCCACATGTTCAAGAGACTATAAGTCATTTAGAACCTTTCCATACTGTTTGACTGTGCTTTCTATAAGCATGTCATACTTTATTTTCTATGTCATAGGCATTACGGGTCATTTCCTAAAATACACTTTTTCATATCATTAAAAATAAACAATGTTATTTAACATTTAAAAGTGACAAGTCAATTATTTGGAGCTCCACGTTATCACACGTTCTAATTTCTATTTCCAGCTGATTATGGGGAGGAACGAACACAGGTGGGATTTTCCGTTAGTAAAGAAATGGTAATCTCAAGTTCTCTCTGTCTCTCTCTCTCTGTGTGTGTGTGTGTGTGTGTGTGTGTGTGTGTGTGTGTGTGTGTGTGTGTTGGTATCTCTCTCTCTCTCTCTCTGTCTCTCTTTCCCCTCAAGAAAATAACTCAGAATTTTACTTCAAGAATGAAGAAAAGCTACTAGACTGTCTTTAGCAGGGGACTGATGTGATCAGATTTACTCTCTTAAGGGATTCCCTTAGCTGTTTGGAGAGAATAAACTTATAGAGTATATTAGTCAGGGTTCTCCTGAGAAACAGAATCCACAGGGTGTGTGTGTGCATGTGTGCATATGTGCATAAGGAGACTTCTAAGAAATTGGCTCTGAAAGTTACAGAGGCTGAGATGTCCCAACAACTATAGTCAATATGGTGGAGACCCAAAAGAACTGATGTTATAATTCCAGTCCAAAGCCAGCGGGCTTTAGACCCAAGAAGAACTGACGTTTCAGGTCAAGTCCAAAGGCTGAAGAAAACCAATGTCCCATCTCAAAGCAGTTAGGCAGGTGTGTATCCTCTTACTCATGAGAATATTCCCCTTTTTCTTCTACTCAGACTGTCAACTGATTGGATGAGGCCCACCTACATTAGGGATGGATGGTAGTCTGCTTTACTCAATCTACTGGGTCCAGTGTTAATCTCATCTAAAAACACCCTCACAGATACAGCCAAAATAATGTCTAACAAATATCTGGGCACCCCATGGCCTAGTGAAGTTGACATAAAATTAACTATCACACAAGGCAAGAATGAAAACGAGTAGACCAGTGAGGAGGTTCTTGCCATTTTCCAGGCAAGAGAGGATGATGGCTTTGACTTGGGTTGTAGCCATGGAAGTGGTGGAAAGTATTAGGATTCAGAAAACAACCTTAGAGTAAAATCAACAAAAATTGTTATTATTGTTCTGTTGTTACTGTTATCATTTTGGTAACAATAAATAATAATAACTAATAGTTAACCTTATTTTTAGTAGGGCTCAGGCACTTTTCCAAATGCTTTATATGTATTATTTCATTTGATCTTCTCAAACAAGGAAACTGAGGCACTGAAATTTTTAATAACTTGCCCAAGGCCACACAGTTAATCAATGAAAGTGTATGACCCCCGCTGCACTAAGAGCAGCTTCTTTTGTTTACTTTCCTTTGTATGGGGAGTGGGAGGGTGATGATAAAGTAGAAATCAAGAATTTGGTTTAAGACATGTTAAAATTAAGATGCTATTAGATATCCAAAGACACATAAAAGTCTAGACTTCAGAGAACACACTGGCCCTGGAAACATAAATTTGAAAAATACCTAAGTGGTATTTAAAGCTAAGGGATTGAATTAAGTGACCTAGGAAATAAACATAGAGAAGAAAAGAGGTAGAGGGACTGAGCCTAGGGAACCCCAACAGTTAGAGGTCAGAAAGATGAGGATGATCCCAGAAATGCAACTGAGAGCCAACAATACTTCAAGTAGAAAAAAAAGCCATAAGCATGGAGTATCCTAGAGGCCACATGTTCCAAGAAAGAGACCACTTGTGTCAAATGCTAAGAGGCTGACAGGAGTGACCACTGTATCTGCAACCTAGAGTTCTTGGGTATCCTAGCAAAAAAATTTACATTTTTTAGTTGTGGAATATTGCACATCATATAAAATTTATCATAGCATCACTGAATTTTATAAAGCTTATATTTCTTGCTTATAGACAATCTATAAACAGAAGAAAACTTCATAGTTTGTTTGTTCTGTTTTTTTTTTTATATATATTAAGGAGAAGAGCTGGCTAGCCACTCAGAAGGTCCTCATAATAGTATATTGGGAAGGGAGAGGACAAGATGGCTGATTAGATCAAAATATTGAGTAAAAAAACATATTTTAAAAAGATCCTCAGAGAGAAAACACTGAGAGTCAACAGAGAGACGATGCAGACACTGAGGCTGAAGAGGGAGGAAGTTAGGAACCCTGCACGGGGTTGCCAAGTGCTAGGACTAGTTCTCAGCCCTGAAGAGCTCCTAAGGGGAAGAGCAGAGTGAAGTGATGGCAAAGAAACCCATGATCGCAGAGGACCTCTGTGATCTTAACTACCAGAGATTCCACAACCCTCATACACATTAGAATTGACAGGGGGATCTGCTCAGAGAGTAGATAGAGACAGAGCTCCAGCCTGTGCAGAACCTAGGAGAGTTTGTGTGATAAGCAGCTGTAGCAAAATGCAGTAATAGGCATCGATTCCCCAAGGCTCTCCATCTTCCTCCAAGTACCTCTAACCCCATCTGATCACCAGGCCAGGAGAGAGCAGGGCCATCTCTCCCACGGGACTGGATCATGCCTCTTCAGCACATCTCTCCCTGCCCCTCCCAAGGCCCCTGCACGAGAGTGCTCCTGCAAGAGTGTGCATGCATCATAGCCTCCACCGCCCAGCATGGATGCTTTGCCAGTGGCCCTGTCTGAGTGCTTTCCCAGCAGCCTGGGAGCACTTTGGCTCCCTCAGCACAGCCAGTACCTGACCCCAAGGAGCCAGAGGAGAAAGCCATAGGTCTAGTCCCAGTGCCCCAGGCTTAGAGCATATAGCTCAGGGGTACCAAGCTGAGACCTATTACCAGAAATTAAGCAGGGGAAGAGCCCCCACTCTCAGAACACTGAGAAGAATGAGACATGGGTTTGTGGACTAGCATGGCAGCAGGGCATGCCTCCCTCTACAAGGCTGGTCCAGGAAGGATGTGGTCAGTCTGCCGGCCACAGCCTCTGCCTGAGGGAGCGCTGCATCCTGGAACACCTAACAAAGGAAATGCAGGTGCAGCACCAGTGATCGAAGGGGGCTCCCCTAAGGCACAGGAAAGGACATGGTGAGGGGGGTCATCTCTCCCTCTCTAGCAAGTGGTTCTTAATCAGATTAAAATGACTGAAATGACAGACAGAGAATTCAGAATCTGTATGGCAAGGAAGCTCACTGAGATCCAGAGGAAATCCAAAACTTCATCCAAGGAATTCAGTAAAATGATCCAAGAATTGAAAGACAAAATTGCCATTTTAAAAAAGAACCAAACTGAGGTTCTGGAATTGAAAAACTAACTAAAAGAATTTTATGATACAGTTGGAAGCATTAACAACAAAATAGACCAAGCTGAGGGAAAAAAATCTCAGAGCTCTAAGACCAGTTCTTCAAATCAACTCAGAGAAAAATAAAGAAAAATTAATTTTTTATAAATGAACAAAACCTCGGAGAAATACAGGATTGTATAAAGAAACCAAACCTGTGACTCATTGGCATTCCTGAGAGAGAAGTAGAGAGATTCAAATTCTTTGAAATTAATGAAAATAAAAATACAACATACCAAAATCCCTGGGATGTGGCTAAAGCAGTGTTAGGAGAAAAGTTAACAGTGCTAAACACCCATATCAGGAAGCTAGAAAGACCTCAAATTGACACTCTAACATCACACCTAGAGGAACTAGAAAAAAAAAAAACCCAAAGGTAGCAGAAGAAAAGAAATAACTAAAATCAAAGAATAACTGAATGAAACTAGGATGCAAATGTCCATATAAAAGCAAATTAAACCAAAAGTTGGTACTGTGAAGGGATAAACAAGATTGATAGACTGTTAGCTAAACAAAGAAAAAAAGAGAGAAGATCCAAATGGCACAATCAGAAACAACAAAGATGACATTACAACAAAAACAAAAACAAGCAATGCAGGGAAAGTTCCATATTCAATAAGTGGTGCTGGAATAACTGGCTATCCAAATACAGAAGAATGAAACTGGACCCCTACCTATCACCATATACAAAAATTAACTTAAATTAAAAACTTATATGTAAGACCTAAAACTATAAAAATCCTAGAAGAAAACCTGGGAAATACCTTTGCTGACATCAGCCTTGGCAAAGAATTTATGGCTGAGTCCTCAAAAGCAATTATAACAACAACAAAAATGGTAAGTGGGACCCAACTAAACTAAAGAGCTTCTGCACAGCAATAGAAACTATCAACAAAGTATAGAGACAACCTACAGAATGGAATGATAAATGTTAACAAACCATGCATCCAGCAAAGGTGTAATATCCAGGATCTATAAGGAACTTAAAGAAGCAAAAACCACTAAAATGTGAGCAAAGGACATGAACAGATACATCTCAAAAGAAGACATACAAGTGGCTAACAAACATATGAAAAAAAATACTCATCCTCACTAATCATCTGAGAAATACAAATCAATACCCCAATGAGATACCATCTCACACTAGTCAGAATGGTCTTTGTTAAAAACTCAAAAACATAACAGATTTTGGTGAGGCAGTGGAAGGGGCACTTATACACTGTTGGTGGAAATAATACAAATTAGTCCAGCCACTGTTGAGAAAAGTTTGGAGATTTCTCAAAAAACTAGGAACTGAACTACCATTTGGCCCAGCAATCCCATTACTGCATATATACCTAAAGGAAAATAAATTATCCCACCAAAAGGATACATGTACTCATATATATATATATCACAGTGCTTCTCACAATAGCAAAATCATGGAATCAACCTAGGGGCCCATCAACAGTGGATTAGATAAAGAAAATGTGGCACACATACACCATGGAACACTATGCACCCACAAAAAAAGAATGAAGTCATGTCCTTTGCAGCAGCATGACTACATTTGGAGGCCATTATCCTAAGCAAACTAACACAGAAATAGAAAACCAAATACCACATGTTCTCACTTGTAAGTGGGAGCTAAACGCTGGGTACACATGGAAATAAAGATGGGAACAATAGACAATGGGGACTACTAAAAGGTGGAGAGAGGGAGGGAGGCAAAGGCTGAAAAACTGCCTATTAGTATTATGCTCAGAACCTGGGTTGTGGGATCAATCATACCCCAAACCTCAGCATCATGTAAAATATCCATGCAACATACCTGAATATATACCCTCTGATTCTAAAATAGAAGTTGGAAAAGAAAAATAATATATTGGTAGATGAAGAAGATCCTTGGTTTTGTTGTCCTCTGAATTATATTTTATCAGTTTACTTAGAAATGCTTAGGCTCTAGAGAACTTGCCCTTAAAAAGTTGCCAGTTTAAATGGAGTCTGACTTGTCATTTAAAAACCAGTTTATCAATTTATATTAGGAAATACACCATTTTAAGACCATTGAAGGTAGAAGGAGCTAAATGGAAAGGCAGAATCTGCTTGCCACTAGTGAAAAGAGCCCTCCCAGGATCATATTACTTTGAGTAATTTACCATAGTGCAGATTCTAGTCCTTACCTTTCCTAATATTAGGTTGGTGCAAAAGTAATCGCGATTTTGCATTAAAAGTAATGGCAAAAACCGCAATTACTTTTGCACCAACATAATATAAAACTCCTACAGTAGATGTGACTTAAGATGGCTGTCACTAATCACATTCAAAGTATACCTAAATGTGCTAGAATGAAGTTGTTCATTTGCAAGACAAGCATTAACTAAAAATTCAGCAGGCAGATAATATGAGAAATCAAATCACAATCATATAGTTGTTTGGTGAAAATGGAATTTTCAAAAAATGTACTGGTTACATGATCCTTATGTTCAGTGACATATTTAATAGGCATCCCTGCCAGAATAGCCAAACAAATTGACTTTTGGACCCGAGCTGTCAATGTGTTTGTCATAACCCTGGGCTTATATGTGTGTTGGAGTCCAGTGAGTCCAGTAACTCACACATGTAGTCCAATAGGGTGAGGTATAACATTTTTGCATGGAGAGGGATTAGACTCCATGTTCTTATCACAGCAAAACATGTCACTCACATGGCAAACTAGGTAAGTATTTGGAATCACTTCAAAGCTACATATCATACTCTGGTTCCTTTGCCATCACTATGAGAACATGCCAGAGCTGGCCTGTGGATGATGAGAGACATGCAGATCAAGGACAAGTCATACCAGTCATCCCAGGTGGGGCCAACATACGTAGCTAACAGTCAGCCAAATCCAATGGGAATGATCTCAGGCAAGATCAACAAAGCTGCACACTGACCCCATATACATTAGCATTAAATGCTTTATTGTTTAACCTCAGAAGTATTGTAGGTATTGTGATGAAGCATTATATTACTGTAACAATAGATAAATGATACATCCACTGAACTGCAGTATAGAGGCCTTAATTGTATTTTGATTTAAACAGATTGTTTTTAAAAATGTGAGTCACTTGGGAAACATTAAACAGTGACTGCATATTTGCTGACATTATGAAAATATTCCTTTTTTCTGTGCTGAGATTATAGAGTTGCGCTCATTTTTTTGCAGTGTTAGTAGTATTCCAACCATGTATTTTTTAAAAGTCCTTGTCTTTTAGAGATACATCTTGAAATTACATGTCTTAGATTTCCTTCAAAATAACTCATGGAGGGTGTCGTGATAAGGATAGTGAAATAGACAAGGTTGACAATGAGTTGATAATCATTAAAAAGAAATGATGGTCACATGGGACTTAATTAATACTATTTTATCTACTTTTATAAGGTTGAAATTTTTAATAATAGATTGTACATGTGTGGAAAAAATATGCTTGCATCAAAAGAAGACAATAAAAACAACATACAGAAAGAGGAAAAAATAGGTTAATTAAAAAACAACCAGTTTATCTGAAATATACTATTTAGTCTTTCAGAAAATGTGGGTATGCCTAACACTTGTCAAGGATTGGTGATATAGGAGTGAACAAAACAGACAAAACTACTTGTCATCAAGTAACTTACATTTCTATTTACAGACAATAAATTAACAAGGAAAATACAGAATATATCAGATAGTGATCAGAGCTATGGAGAAAAATAGGGAAGTGGGGTTGAGAATACTGGGAGTTAGGAGAAGGTAGTTTGTAGTTTGTTTGATATTATTATCATGATAATTATTATTATTTTTAAGACGGAGCCTCACTATGTTGCCCAGCCTGGACTCTAACTCCTAGGCTTGAGAGGAAAAGTAAATACCTGGGTTTGGCCATAATTTTCATCAGAGAAACATAATCAACTTTCTATACACTTGGAGACACCAGCATTGACCTTTCATATGACAATGAAGCTCTCAGTGATTTTCATATCTCAGTTTGGGCAGTATGGGTTTACTATTTTTGCTTCACTCTCAAATCCTGATTGTTTACTGGCCATCTTTCCCAATTTCTCAGGATGCACTGCTGTCATTCTTTATGCACTACATTCATGTATACAGATAACTGAATAAGCTTTAAAAGTTGTATTTGATAGAGAATGCATAGCTGAACTACATGCTTTGTCTATAATATATTTAAAAAGTGACTAGTTTCCCTTCACTTCAACTGCTACTATAGGAATCCAAGCCACTGCCCATATGAAATTATTACAACAGCCTTCTACAAGTCATCATGCTTCCACCCTTTGGTACAATCTATTTTCAACACGATAGCTAGAATGGTCCTTTTAAAATATCAGGCTGATTTCATCACTCTTCTTTTCAAAACTCTCCAATATCTTTCTATTTTACTCAAAGAAATATCCAGTCTTTTACAATGTCCTAAGAAGCACTACTTAGCCTGCATCCTCACCACTTACCTCTCACCAGCTCCTACCACTCTTCTCATTGACTCTACTCCAGAGGCACTGACATCTCTGGTATTCCTCACCCTTTGCAGATATGCCTCCACCTCGGGTACTTAAACTGATTGTTCCTTCTGCCTAGAGAGTTTTCTCAGATAGCCCCATGGCTAACTCCCTTTCCTCCTTCAAGTCTTTTCTCAAATGACATTCTATCAGTGAAACCTTCTATGGATACATGGTTAATAATACCCTTTCTCTTTTTCCAGAATGACCTTGGGTTAACATTTAACACTGTTCCCCTGGAAACCTAATAAAGGCAGAAGAGCAACTCTGTTACCAAGCAACGTGCTTTTAGTTAAAAAAAAAAAAAAAAAGAAAGAAAGAAAAAGAAAAGAAAGAAAAAAAAATCCCTGATTCATACCCAATAACATCTGGAGTGGAAGCTATGTGTATGAACTATAAATACTTTATTGGAATACACATCTTCAGACTTCTCTGAAAGTGATAGTTCTTGTAATCAAACATGTTCCTTGCAAGAATCCTGGAAACTGTGCCTAAGAAAGTAATGTATGATACCAAGTCATATTTATGACACAAGGCCTTGAAGCTAGGTTGAATACAGTACTTACCCAGTTGGATCTCCTCTCTTCACAACTGAGCTAAAACTTGGGATGTGGGTATGGAACAAAAACGGCTGGCTCCTGGAAGACCGTATGTATTGCTGTGAAGATTTCTCCCACCAAAGAGAAACATTTGACTGCCCTCCTGGCATGCTATTTTTCCTGGCTATCCTCTTCTAGGTGAAGCTTATTTCAAGTCTGGCCTATGGTAGTTTTGTTGAACCAAAGAAGACTTTCCAAGTAGTAACCATGATAGGGCTGAACAGTGAATAAGCTGGGAATCTGCCATGTAGCAGACAAGCAGGAATACGGGAGAACTAGAAAGGCTCTGGAAGACAGAAGTGGGACTGATATGGACAGCCCAACAATGCAAGACCAGTAGGGAGCTGAAGTTTGCAGGCACTAAAAAGAGCAAATGCAAGTAAGCTTGTCTACACATCTACCCTCCTACGACCCACTCATGTCTAGGATGCTTGCATTCAGCTTCCTGGCCTTTGGACGGATACTAGGGAGCAAACTCATAAACTTCCTACTACTGCCGTTGCACCTACTGATGGGACTGGCAATTGTCTGAACCTGGCTGGAGTGGAAGCCACAGACAAGCAGCATCACCTCTTGGGAAGCCCCACCTAACAAACCACAGTGACTGAATCAGAGCCTTAAACTAAGGCCGGGCACCGTGAGCCAAGGCAACTCTGGAAAATGGGTGGGACCATGATAAATTGCAGTTCTCGTTCCAGGATATTGGATCCAGGGACTCAAGATTCATCTCTCAGACTCCTTCTGTTTCTTCCTCTACTTTCTTCTCCAGGTAGATCTTTTATTAGCTACACTCAACCCAGACATTCTCCTGCCATCACAAAGCAAGGGCTACATTCAGACATATTCCTGGCTCAGACTCTCAATTTATGAGGAGGGAATTTTTGAAATTGGACTGAGGAAAAAATACTTTTGAACCATATTTTGAGGAAAAAGGTAAAAGGCAACCTGTAAAATCTCCCTGGCACCAGCCCCTGTAGTTATATTTTTGTTTTCACTAGGGAGAAGTTTACATTGTTCAGGAATGTTTTGAAGGGTTTGGTTTCCTAATCAGTCAATAGGCCATACCTACAGGGGGACATCTGTTTCCAAAGATGCTTCACATTACAGCTCCTATCTGCTTCTCCACTCTACTCCAGGACCTTCTGGTTCTGCCTACTTCTTTGTTTTGTTTTGTTTTGAGGTGGAGTCTCACCCTGTTGCCCAAGCTGGAGTGCAGTGGCATAATCCCAGCTCACTGCAACCTCCACCTCCCACGTTTAAGCGATTCCCCTGCCTCAACCTTTCAAGTAGCTGGGATTACAGATGCGCACCACCGTGACCAGCTAATTTCTGTATGTTCAGTAGAGACAGGGTTTCACTATGCTGCCCAGGCTGGTCTTGAACTCCTGACATCAAGTGATCTGCCCGCTTCAGTCTCTCAAAGTGCTGGGATTACAGGTGTGAGCCACTGTACCCAGTCACCTCTGCCTACTTCTGATGCTGCACTTCACCATCAATTCAGTACATTTGGTGTTTTCACCCCTCCTTGCCATGTAAAATCTTATTCCCTCTGCCTGGCATAGAATTTTCCACCTACATTTTCTATCTGACTTGGAAAATGTCTGCAGGCTGGCTGTGTCCCTCAACCCAAAGTCACTTTTGCTGTAAGTGGCCCTCTTTCCAGGAACTACTTCCTTTCCTCCCCACCTCAGACCTGTCCACATCTTCATTAAATTCTCTTCAAACTATTCAATTTGTGTTTGCCAGCTTTTTTCTACTGGGACTTTGACTGCTAACATTTACAGAAATGTATTGAACTCATCAGTTTCTTCACTAGGATTATACTTTCCTCGAAAGTGAAGACTAAATTATTTTATGGTTTTGTTCAGTAGTTTGACAAGTATTTTTTTTCAATCCTGCTCCTTCTGTATTAACAAATATTGATGAGCTTCTCCACCATGTCAGAAATTGTGCCAGACCCCAGGAATAACTAACAAAAGAAAAAGATTATGCCTTCATGGCGCTTACTGCCTACTAACAGCATTAAAATACTTTCTTTGGTTGTTTTAATTTTGGAGGCCATACCACACATCATATTAAACATTTTTAAAGTAGCAGAAAAAGTTATAAATGTTTTTCAATTTTGTGTTTGACATCATTGGATATAAGTAACATATAATTTATGATTATGATTTAATAGCATTACACATACTGAGGTTTTGGAAATTAAGAAAGACACTTTTTGAATGCAGTGAAATATTTATGTATGCCCCCATTTAATGATGAAGTAACATTTAATTAACTATTAGTGTGGATTTTCTTTATTTTTATTTTGGGTTTTTATTAATTTGAATTATTAACTTGAATTTTCAGTTTTATTTTTATATTTTAGAACTTTTGGTAGATAAAATAATATCCACCAATCACTAGCCCTCCTCTCCTCTGAGCAAATAGAAAGCTACATGTTCCAGCTGAAAAGCTACATAATTAGTCCTGCCCAGTGAAAGGTAAATAGTGAGGCAGAGAAAAGTCCATGCCCAATCTTCAGGCTCTCTCTTCCCCAATTGCCTTGGCAATCAGGAAGGCTGTGTTTTCTAGATGGTGCAAATAAGACATGGCAGAGGTTCTATCAGCCTGGATTCTTAAGTGGCTTATTGAAGCCCAGAACCCCCAACCTTTCATCATTAACCTGCAAGGAACATGTAACATAAGCTAGAAATAAAGCCTTTTTAAAGTCGCCAACACCTGGGAAATAATTGTGATTGCAGCACAACCTAACCAATGCTATGAACACAAAGCCTCATTTCTGGTTTTGGGTTTTTTTGAGGGGAGGGGAGTCTCTTACACCTTCAGAGTCTCTGCCTCTTGGCTTTACACACTATGTTAACAGTACCTAATAAATAAGACAATCTTAAGTGCGTTAGGCCATTCTTGCATTGCTATAAAGGAATATCTGGGACTGGGCAATTTATAAAGAAAAAAAAATAATTGGCTTAGAGTTCTGCAGGCTGTACAAGCATGGATCCAGCATCAGCTCCTGGTGATGCTGGAGGCTTCCGATCACGGCAGAGGGCAAAGGGAGAGAAAGCATGTCATGGCAAGAGTGGGAGCAAGGGAGCAGGGTCGGGTAGAGGGATCCCAGACTTCTAAACAACCAGATCTCGCATGAACTGAATGAGATCTCCATCATCACCAAGGGGATAGTGCTAAACTGTACATGAAGGATCCACTGCCATGATCTAATCACCTTCCACCAGGCCCTACCTCCAACAATAAGAATCACATTTCAACATGAGATTTGGAGGTGATAAACATCCAAACCATATCACACTTGGGGAAACAGGAGATCAAATGAAAAGTTAAAATAAAGTTTAATAAACGCAATTTATTCAACAAAGATTTATTGAGCTCATATTACATGGAAAAAGGTCAATTTCTCTTGAGTCACATAGGCTACATGAAAGTATAGTAGATACTGGAACACATTCAGAGTTCTACTAAGCAGGAAAAAGAGGAGCTGATGCGCTGCAGGCAATCAGTCCACTACACAGCAGTAACTTCAAAGTTATAATGGACTTCTTTCACCAATGATCCCGAGTAAAACAAGGTAAGACACTTCTGATATGAAAGAAAGGACTATTTCTCTAGGAAGATAAACTAAGACACTGCACTGTATTGTTTAAGTCTGCAGGCTATTAGGAGAGGCTAAGGAGGATGGACTCCTATAAGAAAAAAAGAGGCCATTCCATTAAAGAGAGAGGAAAGCACTTTCTCTTCAAGTGGGGTATGAGAGAGAAAGAAGTTGCCTACCTAAGAGATGACGGTAACGAAAAAAAAATAAGAGACAGAATGCAAGAAAAAAAGCCCTCAAGGCTTCTGGCCTAGGAAGCTAATCTCTCTAGAGTATTTTCGGCTGCTAGGCATTCGATAGTTAAAACATTACCTTGTATAAGGCTCACAGTGAGGCTGAGAGACTGGGGCTCAGGCTCTTTTTTTCTATTGATATCTGTACCTTTTAAAATACAGTTTTCTGCATATACAACCAAAGCAGGTGATAATTTATTGCTTTTTCAAATGGCTTTATTAGGGTATAATTTAACTACAATAAAATGTATCAATTTTAAGTTTACAATTTGATGAGTTTTGAAAATATAAAGTCGTGTATTCAGTACTATCACCAAGATACAAAATTTTTAACTTGCCCAAAAAAGTTCCCTTGTATCCCTTTGCTAAGCACTCTTTTTAAAGTTTGGCCTTTGGCTGGGCACAGTGGTTCCTTCCTGTAATCCCAGCACTTTGAAAGGCCAAGGGGGGTGGATCACTTGAGGTCAGGAGTTCGAGCCTAGCCTGGCCAACATGGCGAAATCCCATCTCTACAAAATAATGCAAAAATTAGCTCAGAGTGGTGATGCGCTCCTGTAGTCCCAGCTACCCAGGAGACTGAGGCATGAGAATCGCTTGAACCCGGGAGGTGGAGGTTGCAGTTAGCCGAGATTGCACCACTGCACTCCAGCCTGGGTGATAAAGCAAGACCCTGCCTCAAAAATAAATAAATAAATAAATAAATAAATAAATAAATAAATATAATGTGGCCTTTGCCATCCTCAACCACATGAGTGGACTCTGATTACTGTTAGATTGCACCAAAAATGGTAATCTCATGCCACTTGCTGGTCATTGGTTCAGGAATTAATATGAAAATCTAAGTAATTCTGGCCTAAGAGAAGATGACTATAGACTTCCAGGAAAGAAAAACCATCCTCTTCTGGTCCTGACAGAGTAACTGATGCTGGACTAGGTATTTCAATATAAGCAAACAAAACTTGTGAAAGAAGTGTTTTCAGAGTCTAGACAACAGGTAGTGTAGGACTGTGATCCCTTTGTTTACCCCCAGTTTCTACCCTAAGGAACTGTCTGGATCACAAAGTGGAAAAGCGTAAGCCAAGCAGGGAAGACTCGTCTACAAAACCTTTGAGGTGGAGATCACAGTTTGGGAGGCTAAACAGCTGAAATTTGTGAGGCAGACCACCAGAAAGAAGGCAAGAGAACAAAGCAGAAAACATGATTGTTTTAAACAAATATCTCAACATAATGAAATGGGGAAAGGATAGTCTTTTCAACAAATGATGCTGGAAAATTGAATATCCATATGCAAAATAATAGTAATAATAACCTTTGTCAACATTTACTACAAACCCTACTGCTACATAATTCTTAATGCAGAATAAATAAGCATGCTGCCCCTAAGATCAGGAAGAAACTAAGTCACCTTCTATGTAATATCATAATTAATTAAGTTTCCTAGCTAGTATAATTGGCAAGAAAACAATTGCAAGCAAGTAAACTGTCCTTATAGATAGACATTACTACATAAAAAGAAAATTCTACAGAATGCACAGAAAACTACTAGAACTAATGAGTGAATTTAGCAAGAGTGCAGGATGCAAAGTCAAGATACAAAAATCAATTATAGTTCTATATGCTAAAAATAAAATAACTTTAAAAAGAAATTTAATAAAATATATACCTTATGAAAATATCAATAAAATACAAATTACTTAGGTAATAGAAATATGGGCCAACGTGGCAAAACCCCATCTCTACTAAAAATACAACAACTAGCCGGGCGTGGTGGCGGGTGCCTATAATACCAGCTACTCAGGAGGCTGAGGTAGGAGAATCACTTGAACCTGGGGGGCAGAGGTTGCAGTGAGCCGAGATCATGCCACTTCACTCCAGCCTAGGTGAAAGTGCAAAACTCTGTCTCAAAAAAAAAAAAAAAAAAAAAAAAAAAAACAGAAAGAAAGAAATATAAGCAAAATTTGGACACTGAAACTGTAAAACAATGTTGAGAGAAATTAAAGAAAATGTATATAGAGAAATATACCATGTTGGTGGTTGGGGGATTTAATATTTTTAAGATATCAATTCTTTATAGACACATAGATTCAAACCAATACCAAGCAAAGTTACAGGAAGATTTTTGGAGAAATTGACAAGGGAATCCTAAAATTGATACAGAAATGCAAAAGAGCCGGAATAGTAAAAACAATTTTAAAAATAAGAAACAATGTTAGAGGGCTTGCACAGTTAATAT
This sequence comes from Homo sapiens, assembly GCF_000001405.40. Classification (NCBI taxonomy): domain Eukaryota; kingdom Metazoa; phylum Chordata; class Mammalia; order Primates; family Hominidae; genus Homo; species Homo sapiens. The sequence continues at coordinate 30,293,996 of NC_000011.10, forward strand.
GAAGACTTATTCCAAAACTACATTAATAAGGATAGTATACTACTTACAGATCAGTGGAACAAAAATAGGTATATTGTTAAAAGACAACTGTTTTAAACAAATATCTCAAGGTAATGCAATGGGGAAAAAATAGTCTTTTCAACAAATGATGTTGGAAAATTTGAATATCCAGATGCAAAATAATCATAGTCGTAATAATCAATAATAATCTCTATTTAACATCAAATACAAAAATAAATTTATAAACATATATCAGCATAAAGGCTTGCATAAAAACATTTTTAAAGATTTATTTATAGTAGCCAAAAGCTACAAACAACTTAATTATAAATCAACAGGTTACATCAGGATTAACAAATTATGGCATTTCCATAAAATGACATACTACTAAACAGTAAAAAGCTATAAACTACTGATACATACAATTCGAGAGTCAATATCTATGACTCTCAAAAACATTATACTAAGCCAAGGAAGGCAGACAAAAATCATACTGCATGTTTCAATTTATATAAAATTCGAAGATAGGTGAAACTGATGTATAGTGATTGTTGTCTGGGCTGCAAATTGGAGTGGAAGATTGCCTGGCAAAAACCTTAAGAAAATTGTCTGGGGATAACAAAGATGTTCAACATCCCAGTCGGGGAGGCTATTACAAAGATGAATACATTTGTCTAGATCCATTGAACTTAAAAGTAGATAAAATTTATTGCATGTAAATTATATATCAACAAAGTTGATTTTTATAAAATACCTGCTAATGCATAATGCATATCTCTGAACAAACCACTCTAGTATACTTTCTCAGAATTCAAGGCTTGCCAATAAACTTAAATGTGATTAAACCCAAAATAATATAGCTCTCATCTAAGGAACATGGCCACAGAATTTCTCCTGTGTATTAAGATTAGAAAATATAACTTCTACAGAAGGGAAGTAAGCGGGGCACACCACACAGGGCTACCATGCATCAGGATTCATTCCTGGCCCCCAATGACTACTGGGGAAGGAGTAAGTTGAAAAGGTGAGGAACAACTCATACTTACCATGGACCTCTGGAATCCTGGCAGCAGGAGGCCCCATGATACCCATAGACACCTGAGCTGGCAGAGAGAGCTGCTTAGAGAGGTGGTAGGGACACAGCTCCTGCATGTGCAGAGCCCAGAGGGTTTGGTGCAAGACCATCTGCAGTGGAGCATGGTCAGGGATGCCAATCTCCCAATGCTCGCTATGCTCCTCTAGGAGACTTTAGCCTAGGGGAGTTGTCCAACTCAAACAAAGCAGGGTGGTCTTGCCCACGAGACGGGGCCAGTCAGATCTAAGCACTGGCCTGTCTGCTGGCCTCTTCCTGGGCCCCAGCCTGACCACACCCATTTGCAGTGCAGCCTCGGATGCCCAACCATGGTGCCTCCTAGGGTCCTGCCTCCTAGGTCCATCAACGGCCGACTGCAACTGACCATGGGGGAGAGCTCCAGAAGAGTGGACCCTGCAGATAGACATGTACCAACCCACCCTCACTCTCCCACCATCACAGCCTCTCCTGAGCTGCTCTGCCAGTACGCACTTACCCACAGCTGCACCCCCTTCTTTGTTTACATGTGGGTAGACCTTGCCTCCCTTTCCCAGCTGGCATGCAGTGCACCCCAATGCACCACTGCTGCTGGCATGAGCATACCCCACCCCCACATCACCACTGCCAGCATCAACTTGCAAACAAAGGCCGGTGGTCCCACACCCCACCCCCTTCCCTGAACTGCATCACCACTACCACTGGCAAAATTGCCCTACATAGAGGCCAGCAGTTCTGCATCCACCAGCACCCCAACCCCACACCAACCACCACCAGTGCAAACATCCACACTGATGCCAGTGGCCTTGCTCCCCTGCTCCAGGTTGTCACTGATGCACTGTGAATGCACACCTAGGGAGAAGCAGACTGGTGCCCACCAGCACCGTATCCCAGCTGATAAGCATTTACCCCACTGCACTGCCACTGATGGCACAGCACAGATCCTGCTGTAACTGCCCTGACAAAGCACTTTGGCTGGTATCATCCATCAGAGTGTTGTGTCAGTGGTCTGGGAATACCTCAGTCCCTTCAGCACAACAAGTTCCTAACCTCAAGGGACCAGAGAACAAAGCCAGTGGCCCTATACCAGCTACCCAGAATTAGAACACATAGCCCAAGAGTGCTAAGCTGAGCCTTGACCCCCTAAAATCTTTTTAAAATGAAGCCAGTAGACTGTACAAACCTTATATCACAATGAAACCCCCAAGGACATCAAAGGAGATAATAGAAAAAAAAAAAACATCCACAGGACAGCAACTTCAAACATTAAAGGAACATCTATCCACACAGATGAGAAAGAACGAGGACAAGAACTTTGGCGATTCCAAAAGCCAGAGTTTCTTCTTACCTCCAAACAACTACACTAGTTCTCCAGTAATGGTTCTTAACCAGTATGAAATAGCAGAAATGACCAAAATATAATTCAGAATATGGTTAGAAATGAAGATCATCAAGAGATTCAGGAGGAAGTCGAAACCTAATCCAAGGACTCTAAGGAATACAATAAAACAATACAGGAGATGAAAGACAAAATGGCCATTTTAAGAAAGAACAAAATTAATCTGATAAACCTGAAAAACTCCAAGAATTTTAGAATAAAATCTCAAGTATTAACAGCAGAATTGACCAAGCTGATGAAAGAATCTCAGAACTAAAAGACCAGTTATCTGAGATAATTCCGTAGGACAAAAATAAAGACAAAGAAGAATGAACAAAACATCCAAGAAATGTGAGATTATGTAAAGAGACCAAATCTACTATTCATTAGCATCCCTGAAATACAAAGAGAGAAAGCAAATGACTTGGAAAACGTATTTCAGGATATCATCCATGAAAATTTCCCCAACCTTGCTAGAGAAGCCAACATTCAAACTCAAGAAATGCAGAAAACCCTTATGAGACAGTACACAGATGACTATCCTCAAGACACAGAGTCATCAGTTTCTCCAAGGCCAAAATGAAAGAGAAAATATTAAAGGCAGCTAGAGAGAAGGGGCAGGTCACCTACAAAGGCAACCCCATCAGGCTAAGAGTGGATATTTCAACAGAAACTCTACAAGCCAGAAGAGAATGGGAGCCTGTGTTCAGCATTCTTCTTTTTTGAGATAGAGTCTTGCTCTATCACCCAGGTTGGAGTGCAGCAGCATGATCTCAGCTCACTGCAACCTCCGCCTCCTGGGTTCAAGCAATTCTCCTGCCTCAGCCTCCCGAGTAGCTGGGATTATAGGCACATGCCATCACACTCAGCTAATTCTTCTATTTTCAGTAGAGACAAGGTTTCACCATGTTGGGCAGGCTGGTCTCGAACTCCTGACCTCAGGTGATCCGCCTGCCTCAGCCTCCCAAAGTGCTGGGATTACAGGTATGAGCCACCCCACCTGGCCCTCAGCATTCTTGAAAAAAAAAAAAATTTCCAGGCCGGGTGTGGTGGCTCACATCTGTAAATCCCAGCACTTTGGGAAGCCAAGGTGGGTGGATCACCTGAGGTCAGGAGTTTGAGACCAGCCCAGCCAACAGGGATAACTCCATCTCTACTAAAAATATAAAAATTAGCCAGCCGTGGTGGTGGGTGCCTGTAATCCCAGCTATTCTGGAGGCTGAGACAGGAGAATTGTTTGAACCCCGGAAGTGGAGGTTGCAGTGAGCCGAGATCGTGCCACTGTACTCCAGCCTAGGCAACAAAGAGCAAAACTCCATCTCAAAAAACAAAACAAAACATCCAGACAAGAATTTCATATCCAGCCAAACTAATTAAGATTCTTTTCAGACTAGCAAATGCTAAGGGAATTGTTACCACCAGACCTGTCTTACAAGAGGTCCCGAAGGAAGCACTAAATATGAAAAGGAAAGACTGTTACTGGCCACTACAGAAACACACTAAAGTACACAGACCTTTGATACTATAAAGTAACCACACAAACATGTCTGCATAATAACCAGCTAACAACACGATAACAGGATCAAATCTGCACATATCAATATTAACCTTGAATATAAATGGGCTAACTGTCCCAATTAAAAGGCACAGAGTAGCAAGTTGGATAAAGAAGCAAGATCCAATGGTATGCTGTCTTCAAGAGGCCCATCTCACATGCAATGACACCCATAGGCTCAAAGTAAAGAGATGGAGTAAAATCTACCAAGCAAACAGAAAACAAAAAAGAGCAGGAGTTACTATTCTAATTTCAGACAAAACAGACTGCAAACCAACAAAGATCAAAAAATACAAAGGAGGGCATTACATAATGGTAAAGAGTTCAATTTAACAGGAAGACTTACCTATTCTAAATATATGTATACACCCAACACAGAAGCACCCAGATTAATGAAACAAGTTCTTAGAGGCCTACAGAGAGACTTAGATAACCACACAATAATAGTGGGAGATTTCAATAGCCACTGACAGTATTAGACAGATAATCAAGGCAGAGAAGTAACTAGGATATTCAGGACTTGAACTCAACACTTGATTAAATAGACCTAATACATATCTACAAAACTCTCCACCCTAAAACAACAGAATATACATTCTTCTTATATGCACATGGCAATACTCTAAAATCAACCACCCAACTGGCCATTAAACACTCCTCAGCAAATCTAAAAAAAATGAAATTATACCAACCACACTCTGGGACCACAGAGCAATTAAAATAGAAATCAATGCTAAGAATATCACTCAAAATCAATTACATAAAAATTAAACAACCTACTCCTGAATGACTTTGGGTAAACAACAAAATTAAGGTAGAAATCAAGAAATTCTTTCAAATTAATGAGAACAAAGATTCTCTGGGACACAACTAAAGCATGTTAAGAGGGAATTTTACAGCACTAAATGCCCACATCAAAAAGTTAGAAAAATCTCAAATTAACAACTTATTGTCACACCTAAAGGAACTAGAGAAACAAGAGCAAACCAACCACAGAACTAGCAGAAGACAGAAAAACACCAAAATTAGAGTAGAACTGAAGGAAATCGAGACCCTCCCCCTAAAAATACAAAAAAATCAATGAATCCTTAAGTTAATTTTTTGAAAGAATAAATAAGATAGATCACTAGCTAGGCTAATAAAAAAGAGAAGATCCAAATAAACACAATCAGAAATGACAAAGGGGTTGTGATCACCAAACCCACAGAAATACAAAAAAAAACCCTCACAGATTACTATGCATACCATTATACAAACAAGTTAGAAAATCTGCATGAAATGAATAAATTCCTGTAAACATATAATCTCCCAAGACTGAACCAGGAAGAAATTGAATCCCTGAACAGATCAATAACAAGTTTCAAAATTCAATCAGTAATAAAAAGCCTATCAACCAGAAAAGGCCCAGGACCAGACAAATTCACAGTTGAATTCTACCAGATGTATAAATAAGAGTTGGTACCATTTCTACTGAAGCTATTTCAAAAATTGAGAAGGGACTCCTAACTCATTCTATGAGGCCACCATCATCCTGATACCAAAACCTGGCAGAAATATGGCCAAAAAGGAAAACTCCAGGCCATTATTCTTGACCTGGATTCTTGACTAACTTTAGATACAAAAATACTCAACAAAGTACTAGCAAACTGAATCCAGCAGCATATCAAAAAGCTAATCCACCACAATCAGGTAGGCTTTATCCCTGGGATGTAAGGTTGATTCAACATACACAAATCAATAAATGTGATTCACCACCTAAACTAAGCTAAAAACAAAAAAACACACGATCATCTCAATAGGTGCAGAAAAGGCTTTTAATAAAATTCAGCATCTCTTCATGTTAAAAAAGAAAAAAGCCCTCAACAAACTTCAAGGAAGTATGTTCCTTGAAGGAAGGAACATACTTCAAAATAATAAGAGCCATCTATACCAAGCCCACAGCCAACATCATACTGAATGGACAAAAGCTGGAAGCATTCCCCTTGAAAACTGAAACAAGACAACAAGGGTGCCCTCTATTACCACTCCTATTCAACATAGTACTGGAAGTCCTAGCCAGAGCAATTAGGCAAGAGAAAGAAATAAAGGGCACCCAAACAGTAAGAGAGGATGTCAAACTATTTCTGCTTGCAGATGAAATTTTATACTTAGAAAACCCCAGTCTTTGCCCAAAAGTTCCTTAAGCAGATAAACAATTTTAGCAAAGTTTCAGGACACAAAATCAATGTACAAATTTAGTAGCATTCCTATACACCAACAACATCCAAGCTGTAAACCAAATCAGAAACTTAACCCTGTTCACAATATCCACAAAAAGAAAAAAGAATACCTAGGAATACAGCTAATCAGGGAGGTGAAAGATCTCTACAAGGAGAATTACAAAACACTAGTGAAAGAAATTAGAGATTACACAAACAAATGAAAAAACATTTCAAACTCATGGATAGGAAGAATTAATATTGTTAAAATGGCCATACTGCCCAAAGCAATTTACAGATTCAATGCTATTCCTATCAAACTACCAATGGAATTCTTCTCAGAATTCCAAAAAAAATACTATTTTAAAATTCATATAAAATCAAAAAAAGAGCCCAAATAGCTAAGGCAAACATCAGCAAAAAGAACAAAGCTGGAGGTATCACATTACTTGTCTTCAAACTATAGTATAAGGCTACAGTAACCAAAAAAGCATGGAACTGGTACAAAATAGACACATAGACCAACGGAACAGAATAGAGAGCCTAAAAATAATGCCACATACCTACAACCATCTAATTGTTGACAAAGTCAACCAAAACAAGCAATGGCAATGGGGAAAGGACTCCCTATTCAATAAATGGTGCTGAGATTACTTGCTAGCCATATGCAGAAGATTTAAATTGGACCACTCCTTTGAAACACATAAAAAATCAATTCAAAGTGTATTAAAGATTTAAATGTAAAACCTAAAAGTATAAAACCCATGGAAGATAACTTAGGAATTATCATTCTGGACATGGGACCTGGCAAAGATTTCATGATGAAGATGCCAAAAGCAATTGTGACAAAAGCAAAAGTTTGCAAGTTTGCTGAAGAACTCTGTAGAGCAAAAGAAACTACCAACAAGCTAAACAGATAGCCTACAGAATGGCAGAGAATATTTGCAATCTATGCGTCCAACAAAGAACTAATATCCAGAATCTATAAGAAACTTAAACAAATTAACAAGCAAAAAACAAACATAACCCCATTAAAAAGTGGGCAAAGGACATGAACAGACATTTTTAAAAGAAGACATACAGGCAGCCAAGAAGCATATGAAAAAATGCTCAACATCACTAATCATTAAATAAATCCAAATCAAAACCACAATGAGATACCATCTAACATTAGTCAGAATATCTATTATCAAAAAGTTAAAAACTAACAGATGCTGGCGAGGTTATGGAGAAAAGGGAACACTTATACACTGTTGATGGGAAAGTAAGTTAGTGAACCCATTATGGAAAGCAGTTTGGCAATTTCTCAAAGAACTTAAAACAAAATTTCCATTTGACCCAGGAATCCCATTATTGGGTCTATAACCAAAGGAATATAAATCACTCTACCACAAAGACATACATACATACAGCACTATTAACAATAGCAAAGACATGGAACCAACCCAAATGCCCATCAATGATGGACTAGATATAGAAAATGTGATACGTATACACCATGGAATACTATGTAGCCTTTAAAAAATAATGTGATTATATCCTTTGCAGCAGTATGGATGGTGCTGGAGAACATTGTCATAAGCAAACTAACACAGGAACAGAAAACCAAATACATATTCTCACTTACAAGTGGGAGCTAATCATTGAGTATACATGGACACAGAGAACAACAGATAATCCAGGCCTACTTGAGGGTGGAGAGTGGGAGGAGGGTGAAGATTGAAAAACCACCTATCAGGTACTATGCTTATTACCTGGGTGATGAAATAATCTGTGCAACAAACCCCTGTGGCATGCAATTTTCCTATATAACAAACCTGCACATGTTCCCCTGAACCTAAAATAAAAGTTTAAAAAATGAAAGAAAATGGAACTTCTTTTCTTCTAAGAATTTGGGTTATCGTTTTTGATGTTTGAAGCTGGTTTGTTCCCCCAGGCACAAAGAAAATAAGTATTATATACTACTTAATTCATGGAAGATTATCATGCTCAGTCTTTACAGGTTCCTTCTTTTATTTTATTAATTATTTTCTCCCTTCATCCTAGATGAACACATTTCCCATTATCCATCCAACTAGATAGCCAGTTTAGCATTTTAATTGAGGTCCTGACTATAATTATACAGCCTATAAAATGTGTTTTGTGCTTGTTTTTTAATTTATGTATTTTTCCCATTTATCACTATATTTTCAGATCTATCCATGTGGCTATATATAGATCTACTCAGTTGCTTCTAATGCTACATTCTCTGCAGCATCAATTTCTACAGTATGTGTCCCTCATATTTTACATATCAATTTCCCTAGTGATGACCACCTAGGTTACCTTTGAATACTAACAGTGATGAATATCCTTATAGATCCACATGTGGGAAGTTTTCCATGTAATACACACCCAGAAATGGTATTGCTGGCTCACAAGGTATAGTCACACTTATACTATTAGCTTAATTTCCAGAAATATTGTACTACTTTCTATTCCCACCAGTAATGCATTGTGTATTTTAACGTTAAGCTCATTTAAAATATATTCTGCCACCTAAAGTGGCAGATTACAAGATAATAGATTTTATTTTGTTTCTGGCTACTCTACATCAGTAAGAAAGAAAGAATAATTTTGTCTTGTTTCTGGCTACTCTATATTCATAAGAAAGAAAGAAAAGATATCATTAATTCCACCACCCAGGAAGGTAGTTCGGTCTTGACTTCTAAGGCATGGGCTGTTTTTAAGTTTAGAAAAAAATAAACAATGATATTGTGTTTTGGAGCCAGAAGGGTGAGTTGCTAGGCAGAGAACCACCACCATTGAAGACAGCTCTGAATAGGTCTTTGTGCTTCAAAGGCCTAGGTCCATTTGGAGAACCAAATATTTGGAAAGAAGAGAAGAATTGGAGGCTTTCTAGTGTTATCTGACAGGTTGATAGTTATTGATTCTCTAATATACACCTGCTTGCCATGGGTGTGAGGACTGATCCCACCTAAACTGCCTGTGTAGTGAAAGAACTGTAGAAGGCCATAATTAGGGAAGAAGCGCTACACTCCTTGAAGTCTAAGTGAGGGTCCATCTGGTTAAATTTGGTACAGTGGAAACAAACCATACACTGGAATGATTAACCTCAAATGAACTGTTGTGTCTGCCTTTAAGGACCTTCTAAGTCCCCAGGGTCCTTGTAAAACCCAAGCAAGGGGAAGGAGGCTGTGAAGTAAAATGTCTGATAACAAACTTTCAAGCAATCTTCGTGGATAAAACCAGATTTAGCCTTATTCAGACAAAAGAAAAAGTTTGCTTCTTAAGGGCTTAGTTTAGGAATCTCTTTTCTTATCTCTGTGTCTTCTTTCCCTTGTTGATCTTGTAAATTTCTACAACTTTAAATGCTATCTATGACTTTTATTTTTATATATAACTAATTCATGCACACACCACACTGCACATAATCCCTATGACCATACCCCTCACCTTTTCTTCTTTGCACTTTTTACTGTTTGTTTTTAACACGTTGGCTGTCTGCCTTCCCAATTAGGTTGTATATTAGCCAATGCAGGAGTCCCATCTTGTTTATTTACCAAATATTTACCTATTTGTGTCTGATGTAGTTCCTGATACAGAGTATATAATTAATAAATATTTTGGAATGAATAAATAAATGAATTAAAGCCCTAGAGTTGTAGAGCAATTCACATTTGTAACATAAAAAGAAAACACTTCTTCAAATCTCCTCCCATTAGTCATGCCATCTTGCTCTCTTCATTAATAATTCTGGAGCATAGGGGTCTCTATCTCCTTTACTCTGTCACTTTCCATTCTCATCTCTGATGCAGAGTCCTTCTCTCATAAAAATGCAACTATGTTAATGCTCTAAGGCTGCCTTATGATGCAAAGGAAAATTTTTTTGCTCTATACATGGTCCATTTAAGAAAATAGGAATTCACCATTGCCATCCAAACATGAAATGTGGCATAGGTTTCCTGGGGTAGCAAAATGTACCAGAACCTAACAGAGGATAGAAATGTGAAAAAACAGAGGCAATAAAAGAACAGAGAGTAACAGACTAAAAAGAAAGAAAGTATTTCTTGGTGACTATCTGATTATTACTCATTTTGGAGTGAAAGATGACCCCATGGCGACAGGAAAAAAATGTTTTGCATCATTCTCTGAACTGTGAATATATCAAAACAAGCCATTTGTATGATTCAATTTATTTCTTATTTGTAATATCTGGACTCTCACTTTCTAGATGTTTCTAGATGAAGTTACAGTCTCAAACAAACCTTGTGGCTCTCATTGAATTAGAATTATTCCTCAACTATCACTTTGCTAAGATCTGACTTAGGCACTGCAGGATATCCACCATCATAATTTAGGTTCTCATCACTCTATTTCAGATTAGAATAAGACATGGCAAAGAATGGAATAAATATGTAGGCCACTGTAGAAGGAGACTAGGGAGTACAAAGTCACAAGCAGTGATGGGTAGTTCAGAATGCGCACTTCAGCAAGGAACTAGGGAGGGAGATGAGTGGTTTTCAGATCCTGTCTTCCTTTCAGTGTTGGGGTCAGAGGACTTTCTTCCAAGCCAGCAAGTAAGACAGAAGATTCTGTCTGGCATCTTCTCTGCAGGGTACTCTGAGCTAAAAATAGCTACTCTAGATAATGAATGCTATGGCATTGCTAATTTATTTAAATGAAAAAGTCCTCATCTGTGATTTTCCTATTTTTGCCCAGCCAACTAAACTTTGCCTGAAGCAGACAACAAGCTGGTGGTCACTAGACTATTACTAATACTAGTAGGTTTAGCTCATTAAAATGATTTTAGAGCCTCTCAGTGCAATAAGCATGGCCTGTTGTCACTATTTCTATTTTTATTCCTTTGGGATATCACCTAGAAAGCTGAATTGAATTACAGCAAATGAGTCTGCAGCTAAGCTTGAGGGGATGTGAAGAACAGAGTATTCCTAAGGTTTTGGTACCTTCTCAAGAATAGGTGGAAAATGGCTATGAATACTTTAAAGTTAGTCAACCCTGGATCCTCTCCAAAGGGAAGTTATCTAACTATTCTTAGCCTTGGCTTTCTTATCAGTAAAGTTAGGGCAATAATATATATGGTGCAGAATTATTGTTAATAATTAGAAGCAACTTATATCCAACACACAAGGCATGTGATAGGTGGTTGATAAATGTTACCTGTTATTATAGCTCTCAGAAGTTTGCCCAAAATAAGGTTCATTAAATCATATGAATTTATCCAACACATTCCCAATATTTCGTTGAGGATTTACAGATACAAGCATAGTAGTAGTCATATTGATGCCACAGAAAAAAAGATGTAACTACACAGAAACATTGGTAATAATAAAATGACTCTCCTGTCAATATTGGTAGCTTGAACCAGAATTAACCATGACTGGAAATGAAGTGGAAGGGCTTCTATTCCCAGCTATTATATAACAGCATAACTTGGAGCAAACCAATGATGCTTCTGTCTTAGTTCATTTGTGCTACTATAACAAAATACCATAGAATGGGTAATTTATAAATAAAAGAATTTTATTTCTCATGTTTTAGAGGCTGGAAAGTTCAAAATCAAGGTGCAGACAGATTCCACGTCTGGTGAAGGCTTGCTCTCCACGTTCAAGGTGGCACCTTGTTGCTTCATCCTCACATGGTGAAAGGCAATGGGCAAAAAAAGGCCTGGCTACTTCCCTCCAGCACTTTTATAAGAACATTAATCCCATTCACCAGGCTGGAGCCCTCATGACATAATCACTTGTCAAGTACCCCACCTCTTAAGACCATCACCTTGTGGGTTAAGTTCCAACATGTGAATTTTGGAGTGACACATACATTCAAACAATAGCAGCTCCCACAAAGAAAAAAAAGAGATTTTTAAAAATCTCTATTTAAAAGCATTGAGAGCTAATTAGGCAGTTAGGACTTAAAGGCCCAACATCCTAAAGAGAAGTGAAGCAGAAAGATGTGAGCCAGTAAGAGTCCCCTTGGAGAATTTCCTAATTTTTGGTGCTGTGTGAAAGGCTATGTATCTAAGGAAGAGCATAATTGCTGAGAAGCAGAGTAGCTGAAAGAGTTTCTGGTAATTTTGCAGGGCGGAAAACACAAAAAGTGGAGTCTAGAGCTGCCAAGGCAGCAAAGACAGAGGGAGAAACAAGCCTAACACACACAGTTACATTTTTTTTTTTGAGACGGAGTCTTGCTGTGTTGCCCAGGCTGGAGTGCAGTGGCGCGATCTCTGCTCACTGCAAGCTCCGCCTACCGGGTTCCCGCCATTCTCCTGCCTCAGCCTCCCGAGTAGCTGGGACTACAGGTGCCTGCAACCACACCTGGCTAATTTTTTTTTTTTTTTTTTTTGTAGAGACGGGGTTTCACCATGTTAGCCAGGATGGTCTCAATCTCCTGACCTCGTGATCCACCTGCCTCGGCCTACCAAAGTGCTGGGATTACAGGCGTGAGCCACCACGCCTGGCCACAGTTACATTTTTAAGATACACAAAGCAACCGGCTAAGAATCTAAGCAGAATGCCACTTAAAGGAAAAATCATTTTCAATAGTCTGACAGTGACAAAGACAATTTACAGCATATGAATGAGCTAAAAAGAAGGGGACTTAATAAAAGATAAATACCCCAGCCTCTCAGTTAAGACTGTCTGAGGCTATGCTCCCAAGAATGAGGTTAAACAAGATGTATATTTGAGTTCATAACAACTGTAACACAGACAACTTAGGTTAATTCAGTTGTTGATTAAATTAAAGTGTATTTTCCTCACTGTAGTTTCCTGACAGAGAACAAGGTGAACCCTTTCTGGGGACAGACAAAATCATCTGAACACATGTAATTTTTTCATATAAAATATTCATCATTTAATAAAAAGATGCCAAGGAGATGGGGTTCAGGACACGATACACCAAAATATGGCACCTTGGATTTGAGAAAACAGCAAAAGGAATAAGGTAACTCTCACCCTCCCCTTGCCCCTTCTCCCCTGAAGCAGGCCATAAAAACCTAGCTGATCTTCCCCTGAAGCAGATCATTAGACCTTAATTCCATAGACCCCCTCCCTATACCTGGAAGAAAGGAATGCTCTTATCCTCAAAGATAAAGATGCCAAGAAGAATCTGAACAACCCTTCCTAAGTCTGCCCTCCGCCCCCAACTTGTAACCTTTAGAACACACCCCCTTTTGTCCACACTTCTGTGACTGTTCATTCTTCAGCAAACCTAAGCATAAAAATACAGTTCTCCCTATTTCTTTGAGTCGTCATTTCTGAAGGCTCCTGTGTCATAGAAAACTTACATTAGACAAATTTGTAAGATTTTCTCATGTTAATCTTTTATTATAAGTGACTCAGCCATGAATTTGTGATGGATGAGAAATCTTCTATTCCCTACAAAGGCAGACCAAGAAACAAGACAAAAATAAAGCCCAGATGATATAAATAGACCCACAGATTATCAAAATCAATGTTATCTAACAGAACTTTCTGCAATGATAGAAATGTTCTATGTATGTGCAATCCAATACATGAGTGACTGCACACATGTGGCTATTGAGTACTTGACATGAAGAACTGAATTTTCTTTTTTATCTTAATTGATTTACATTTAAAGAGCCACATGTACCTAATGGCCACTGTACTGGACAGCACAGCAGTAGCCACTAATGGAATGCATAATTCTCATGATGATAAAGGTAAAAGATAATTAATAGAAATATTTGATGAATTCATCAAAGGAAGAAAAAGGCAACATACAACAAATGAGACCCCCAAAAAAACAGATATTGTATAATGGTCAGCATCTACCCAAATATATCAGTAATAAGCATGTAATGTTACTCACAAGAAAAGAATATATACTCTAATCGAAAAACAAAGATTGTCAGACTGAAAAAAATAAACAAAGCTTAACTATATGCTGCTCATAACCGTGACACATTTAATTATGGGAATTTCTTTAGATATTGCCTCTTCTCCAATCTCATTTCTCATCTTCTACAACTCTTATTATATTAGACGCATGTTCAACCCATTTAGTCTGCCTCAATTTCTCAACCATTTTCCCCCTATTTTCCATTTCTTTATCTTTGCTGGATTTTGGTTAGCTTTTCCATCTCTGTCTTCTAGTTCAGTAATTCTCATTTTAGCTATGATCTACCTATTGTTTAACTCTTTCGTTGAATTTTTAATTTCAAAAATTAAAAAAATCATTTTTTGGAGTTCTTTCCTATTTTTCAAGTTCACATATTCTTATATAATAATATCTTACCCTTTCCTTGTGGTTTTTACTCCTTTATCACTTTAATTATGTTAAGCATAGTTATTCTGCAATACATTTCATATTGTTCTAGTTTCTCAAGTCCTTGAAGTTCTAACAGTCCTCTTCACTATGTCTAATTACTCTCTGTCATACTGAATTATTTTCTTCTATGATTTATAAATTTTAATCCCAAGCTCTTGTTGGTAGTTCTTTATCACCCTGGACTGTTGGAAGTGTAGCTATACAGAGTTTTGCTTCTGCCGGACACCCCAGAACTTCACTGGTGTGAAGGATTATTGTTTATTATAAAACCCTAGGAAGACTGTCAATTGAGACTTCACAGTTGAATATGGAAAAACCTTGAGCTTTGATTTCTCTGGGAGTTTTTTTTTTTAAGTTTTAGTGTTTAGTTTTTCTAATTCCTCCTTCACTGACAGACAGCAATTCTATGATTCTGCCTTTATGCTGGGGTCTCAGGTCCAACTTTCTGCCTCACACAAGTCAAAGCCTTATCTCTTGTCTCCAGGAGACCTTCAAAGCTACAGCCCCTAGTTCCTAGTGGCTAGATCCAGTCACCAGCCCCCTCAGCCTCCACAGCATCAGCTGGTAAGTTTATTACTCTGGCTTTAATTTTCCTTTTCTTGCACCCACTGACATCTATGTTATGACAAGTCAGTCTTTTGTTATTTTTTTTATTGATAACTTCCATGTGGTTAAAGGCGATGAGTAGCTCTGCTTAGACTCAGCCCATCAAGCTCCCAAAATTACCCCATGATTTTTAGACCATGATTTCTCCTTCTTCTGCCTCCACTTCTGAATTTATTCAGGTTACCCTGCTCCTGTGGCCCCTCATATCTAGAAGCTTCACCATCTTACACAAAATTTCCAATCACATTTATATTCTTTATAGATATTCTAAGGTTCTGTGCAGTCGCAGAGGTAAGAGAATCTCGTTGTGGTGCGCATTGCCATCTGCCATCTTGTTGCTCCAACCTTCCTTCTTTCTTTTTCTCAGCCAGACCCTGTAGGCTCTGACTTTTCCAAAATCTCGTGCTCCTACATGTCTTCTTCCTTAGCATGCATAGGAAGCTTAATTCTCCTAACAAAATGTAGACCTCACTTGACAAAAGCATATCTGTGTTCTCCAACGCCATGAACATTTTGGTGAATAGGATTTTCTTTATACCTTCAGACTCACAAAAGTCATGCAGAGAACAGAGACAAGACCAAACATTGCTAGAGACTTTTCTTTAATTGAGAAAACTGCAAGTTAATCTATACACAACAGAGAAAATAAGTTTCCGCAGCTTTAAGGATTGTTTTGATATTCACACACACACATACACACATTATAAAATATGTCTATTAATTCAACAAAAATTAAGCACATAATAAGCAATGTGCTAGGTTTCATGGATATAATTAAAAACAAAACTACAGTCATCCATCACTTAATGATGGGGATACATTCTGAGAAATGCATTGTTAGATAATTTCATCATTGTGTGAACATCACAGAGTGTACTTACACAAACCTAAATGTATATAGCCTACTACACACCTAAGCTATATGCTGTAGCCTATCGCTTCTAAGCTATAAACCTGTACAGCATGTTACTGTACTGAATACTATAGGCAATTATAACACAATGGTAGGTATTTGTGCATCTAAACATAGAAAAGATGCAGCAAAAATACAGGAATAATCTTTTTGGACCACTGCTGTATAGACACTGTGTCATTGACCAAAACATTGTTACATGGCACATGACTATATTTAATGGCTTCCCTTTCCTGCTAAACTGTAAATCCTAGGAGGGCAGGGCTGTGTTTTACTTATTTACCTCAAGATCCAAGTGCTTAGCAGTGTACTGGCACTTAACGATATCTGTTGAATACATAAATGATTGATTATATTAATACATCAGTGAGTTTTGTTGCAAAGATGAAAATCTAAAGGGAAAATGATATGAAATTGTTCCTTAAACCTGCAGATATATATTTAAAAAGACACTAAGCTCTATCCTTTTAGTTCACTCACATTGGCAACTTTTCCTATTTAGCAAGATCTTAATAACCTCTGCTCATTAGTTTCCTTCACTTTCTCCCAGTCATTTTCTCCTCCCCTGGTTTTGTTTCCTTGCCTGCCTATCCTGACGCTCATGGCTACCTTTCTGAAATACTCTCTTGTCAATGTACTTAGCACATTGGACAAGCTTGATTTATGGGATCCAACTTTGTTTTTTGCCTCTTAATGGCCCTTTAAAGTTATTCAGAGGAGAATCTTTCTTTGTGACTGAAAAGGAGACTTCATGGGCCTCATAACTTTCTCAGTTTAGGTAACCGATGGCTCTGTGGTCACTCAAGTTACAAACCATTGTCTCAGTTCAGAAAGTGGAACTGCCAAGTCCACAATATTAAACATCTCTTAAGCTTTCATTCAAAGCAGTTTCCCCTCCCTTCCTCTGCTTAAGGCAGGTGGGTAGGCAGGCCACTTGTACTTGTGGAATGGGGTAGGTCAGCTTCTACTCTCTTTCTCACCTCTCCTTTTCTCTCTCTCTCACTAGCCACTGTGATTTAAGTGCAACTTATAGACAGTAATATTCACCAATTTGTAAGTATACCATTGATGAGTTTTGACAAATAAATTCAGTCATTTGAATATCACTACAATGATAATACAAAACATTTGTAACATCTCAAAAGTTTCCTCATTCACCACTGCTGTCAATCCTCTTTGGCTCCTGGCAACGACTGATCTCCTTTCTATCTCTATACTTGGGCCTTTTCTAAAATTTCATATAAATGGAATCATGTAAAAGACTACATACTCCATCTGGCTTCTTTTTGTAGCATAATGCTTCTGAGATTCATACATGTTATGCTTATCAGTAGATTAGCTTTTTTCATTGCTGAGTGTTATTCCATTGTATGGACATACCATTATTTTTTTATCCATTCATCATTCAATGGACACTTTGGTTCTTTCTTTTTTTCAATCATTACGAATAAAGCTGCTATGAGCATTCAGATCCAAATTATTGATTAGGTAGGTGCTTAAACTTGTCCCTGATAAATGCCTGAGAGTGAGATTTCTAAGTGATCTGTTTAACTTGTAAGGATTGTCAAATGGCATTTCCAAAGTGGCTGTACCCTTTTGCATTTCCACCTGAAATGTATGAGAATGTCATTTGCTCCATACCTCCTCTTAAGTGCTTGATTTTATCAACTATTTTTAAAAATTTTAGCCATATAATAGATGTGTAGTGCTATCTCATTGTGGCTTTAATTTGCATTTTATAAATGATTAATGATATTGAACATCTTTTCACATACCATTGCCACTGATATATTTTCTTCAACAAAGTATGTCTTCACATCTTTAGCCAAGTTTGTTTTAAATTGTGTCATGTCTTACCATTATTGAATTATAAGAGTTCTTGATATATTTTAGAAACAAGTTCTTTATCAGACATACGTCTACAAGTATTTTATCAGACTGTGTTGCTTTTCTTTTCATTTCCATTGGTGTCTTTTGAAGAGTGAGAGTTTTTCATTTTCATGAAATCCAATTTATCATTTTTTTATTTTATGGTTCCTGTTTTTTTGGTTGTATCTAAGAAAAATTTTGTCTAACCCAAAACTACAATGAATATCTCACATACTTGCTTCTAGACCTTTTTTTATAGTTTAGATATATTTGGATATGTGATCTATTTTGTATTAATTTTTGTATGTGGTATGACATAAAAATCATTGTTTACTTTTTTGCATCTGGATATTCAACTGTTTCAGTACCACTTTGTCTTAGTCCATTTAGGCTGCTATAATAAAGTACCATAAACTGGTGGCTTATAAACAAAAGATATTTATATCTCACAGTTCTTGAGACTATAAAGTTTAAGATCAAGGAGCTGGCAGATTTGGTGTGTATTCTCACATGGTGGAAGGAAGAACTCTGACCTCTTCAGCCCCTTATAAGGGCATTAGTTCCGTTCATCAGGACTCTATATCTGTGACCTAATTACCTCCCAAAGGTACCATTTCCTAATACCATCACATTGGGGATTAGGTTTCAACATATAAATTTGGTGAGGAAACACACATTCAGTTTGTAGAGTACTTACTGACTCATTAACTATATTGGGCAAGTTATTAGGTGGCAATTTCATATGGTTCAAACTAGCATTTGGTCTCTTTAATCTTCTTTTTCCCCCATATGAAAAACAGGAAGAGCTGTGGTACATATTACACAGGTGATTGTTGTGAAATTTAAATAAGATAATGCATGCAAAGCACTCCGTCCCCTGCAGAGCACATAAGTGCTCAGTAAAGGAGGATATGTTATAAAACTCATCAAGTCCTGACTATTGCAAAATATATCTTGAATTTATCTCCTCCACCTTATCACTATTTACTCATTCACTCATTTATTCACTTAACAACTTTTTATTGAATCACCATGTGTTCTGGGTACTAAGATAGGCATTGGGAATTCAATGGTAAACAAACTAGACATGGCCTGTGCTCCAGTGGGACTTTCAGAATGCAAGAGAAGACAGACTGTTAAATAGCAATTAAAATGCAAATAATAAAAAGTCATAACTCTGGGCTTTGCTCTGGCTAGTGAAATAATACATTTTCTATGTCCCATCTTCTTCCCCCAGGTTCCTGGGTAAGGGAACATAGGATAAGCCCAGAGATAAGAGAGAACTATTGAAGAAACTCCTGCCAGTGTGATCTATCTAAACCACATATCTGACCAAGTCACTCACTGTCTAAACCAGTGTAAGGCTCTTCACTGCCTTCAGGGTAGAGTTAAACTCTTTAAAATGACATATCTCTCACCAAAGCTCTTAGCACTCTTTCTCTCTCATTTTGTTTCAAAAAAACTAAACTATTTATATTTCTCTATACATGCCATGCTTTTTTATGTCTCTGTGGCTTTGCTCATGCAGTCCATGAAATGTCCTTCACCCTTCCTCTGCCTTGGTAACTCTTCATACCAGCTGGGATTCTCATGGCTGCAGAAGAAAGCAAGCCAGTTCAAACCAACTGGAGGCAAAAAGAGAAATTTACTGTAAGGATACTGGGATGCTTCCTGAAACAGAGAGCAAGGACGTGATTGTATATCTATTGTAGGTAACAACAGAATGCATTCTCTGGAAGACGCATTCTCTTCAGTTTGTCTCTGCTTCTCCCTGTGCATGTCAATGTGACTCACATTGTGGTTATTATTGGTTTTCCTCTATCAAATGGCAGAAAACATAGCAATTGACAGTTCTCAAGCTTCAGTGAGTCCCATGTGGAAAAATCCTAGGGAGGGACATTGATTGCCTCAGCATGTTTCATGTACTCACTCATGGCCCAAACATTTGGGGCCCAGGGATGCAGTGTGATGATGTACAGAATAGCTGCTCTCACCATAACCATGTGGATGGGGGAGGGAATAACCCAGAAAATTTTTGGAAAAAATTACAAAAACATTATAGATATTTTTGAGATTCCTTGAAAAAATGTCATTTGCATAAATGAATTAATATAAATTAAGCATAAATAAGGAATCTCAGCTCAGATGACCCTCCTCCAGGAACCACTCCAGATTCCCTTTATTGGTTTGGGTGCCTGTGTTCTATGCCCACTTACTGCCTCATGAATATGTCTAACACTACTGTTAACATTTTTGATCATCTGTTTCTGTGTCTGTCTCTTACGAATTCTTAGAGGACAAGTATGTAGTATATTCAGTTTTGTACCTCAAAATTTGAAGATACAGAAAACAAAGCAATAGTGAATGTGGAAATGTATTGAAGATTTTTGGAAGAATGAGTAGGTGATTACTTCAACTAACTGGCACTTGAATTTTATTTCTAAAACTCTCATTATAAAAAGTCATCATTTTCAACTTTCTTTTGAGTCAATGTACATTTGCCCTCTTACATAGCAACATCAAGTCATTAATGAGATAATCCCAAACCTTGTTATTACATCGTAACTTTCTCTTAGCAGTAATTATTGGAGGTGAGAGAATCTATATTAATTGACTTGATTATATATAATATTTAAAATCACCTAATTGACACAATTATTATAGAGAAAAACATGTGAAAGCCACATAAATAAACTCCGACTATGCTTAAGAACTGTCTAACCCAGCTCATTTGATAGCCTATTGACCAGTGAGTTAAACAAAACTCTAATTCAATGATAGCAGCATCCTCTGCCCTTTCCAAAAGTGCAGGACAGGATAATATTATCTCATGGTCAAGAAATGTATTAAATATGTGGAAAAATAAAATGTAAAAGAGCATGAGGAGAAACTTAGTGAAAATTAGCAAAACAATGTTCTGTTCTCCCTCTGCTGGCTTTTAGGCAGTATTGCTCTTCAAAGATCTGTCCAAAGGCCCATATGAAATTTTTTCAAGGAATCTCAAAAATATCTATAATGTTTTGTAATTTTTTCCAAAAATATTTAGAATGCTCATAATGTTCATCTAAATAAGCTCCACCAAAGCTAGAGCATCCCCACCAAAGCCATCATTACCTTCTCTTCTTATCACAGATAATGACTAATACAAAATAGATAGAACAAGTAGAATCTAGTGGCTTGACCAATTTTCCAAAAGAGCAATTCAAAAGAAGTAATTGATATTAATATTATAAATAGATATTATGTTTTCTAGTTTTCTAAGAATATGATTCTTACAGATTGAGATGCAGCCTGATTGAGTAGGAAAAACACTGCATTTTTAGAAAGACAACCTGGGTGTGAGTCTTGACTATCCCTATTACTTACTGGTTGTACAAGCTTTACAGATTGTCATTTATATGTTAGTTGTATAACATTACCATTTACGGAACTAAGTCTCATCAACCTCTAAATGAGGAAGCTATGCAACAGAATTGTTAAATCCTTTTCCAGTTCTAGTTTTTTTGTTCCCAGTGCTGTTGAATTATTAATTTTTAATAATTAATTTCTGCATTTAATTCACACCATTTTGGTCATTCGAAGATGTAACCAAAATGGTTCCTGTAACCATCAGCTTCCTTCCTTGACGTTGTGCCAAACACACTGTGGACACCCAGATGAATCCTAATTGACACAATAATGATTGTGATGGCAATAAAGAGCCCTGGGGTTTTTATTTGAGCCAAATTCTTTCCTAGTTATATGGCTAGTATTTTGAATAGCAGCTGTGAACAAATCTGTATTTCCTTCCCCTACGCCACCCCCACAACAGTCTGAAATCTTTACTTTAAATGAGACAAATCAGAAGAACTGCTGAAAAACACAGTTTCAATCTGTCCTTCTGCCCAGTCATTAGTTAAATCCCCTATATCACATTTCTTTAAATCAACTGACTCTTAAATATTGTTATAAGGAAAGCAAGGCCAAGGTGGGTGTGAGGTTAGGGGATACTAGTTCAAATAATGACTCCACTTCTTTTAAATTTAATACCCATCTTTCCAGATTGAAATATACCATGTCATGAATGAGATAATACATGTGAGCTTATCATTCCAGTGTTTTCAGACATAACTGGAGGTCCATAAATAGTAGCAAGAATAATTATAGCTACCACTTATTGAGAACTCACTATGTGCCAGGCACTATGCTAAACTATATATATAAAAAGTTATACACAAACACACACACATACACAAACACATATTCATTTATTCCCCACAAAAACCCTATAAGGCAGATGCTACTTTCTCTATTTTACAGATAAGAATTTGAAGCTTAGAGAATTAATGTAATTTCTACACATTATCCTACTAGTGGCTAAGCCAGGATTTGAACCAGGCAGTCTGATTCCAGAGCCCACTTAGAGTTTTGTTTCATGCCCCAAGGAGGATACTGAAGCTTTAGAAAGCAATTAGTTACGCACCCTCCAGAATAACTAAAATGAAAGCCAACAATAACAACTGAGAACTCCAAGTGGTGGTGAGTATGTTTATGAGTGTAAATTGGTGCTAGAAGGAATGTAAATTGATGCAACCACTTTGAAAAACTCTTCAGCAGTATGTACTCAAACTGAACATACACATTGCCTATAATCCAGCAATTCCACTCCCTACTACATATCCAAATGAAAGTGTAAATGTATGTGGACCAAAAGACAGAATGTTCAAATGTTTGTTGCAGCATTATTTGTAGAAGCCCCAAATTGAATGAACCCAATGTCCATCAACAGTGAAAGAGATAAAAGAAAATGTTGTCGGTTTCACGTAATAGAAATACCACTCAGCAATGACAAATATTTAATTGCTTACGATGTCATACAGCATCAATGAATTTCAAGGACATAATACTGACCACAAGAAGCCAGACACAAAAGAATATATGTGGTACAATTCCAAAGCTCAAAGTCCAGAAATAACCAAAACCAATCTATGGTCAAAGAAGTTAGAATGGTGGTTACCTTTGGTAAAAGGTGCTCACAACTAGGAGACAGCATACAAGAGACTTCTGGGGAGCTCATAATTTCTTGACCTGGGTAGTGGTTATACAAATATAAAAATGTATCAAGCTATAGACTTAGAACTTGTGTACTTCTTTGTGGTATGTCAAAATTCAGTATGAAAGCTTACACAAAGGAAATGAAAACAATTACTAAGAATTCATTCCCCTCATTCCCTTTCAGAGTACATGCCATCTCATCCCAAACTTGGGATTCTTGCATGCAAATGTTTCTCTTTTTTCCTAATTCTTGGCTCCTTTGCACTTTCCCAAGTGCGTTTAATGAGAAGCTGTGAATTTCTCACAGGAAACTACCTCACTAGCTGATATCCTAAACTTCAGTTCCACTCTCTGACCACAACTGTTCATTGTTTCAGTTTGATCACAGATTTCACCTCCTTGCCTTCAATTTTGATTTTGAAAGCTCCATTTCTTTTCATTCTCAACCAGCTTTCCCTCTTTCGTTCATTTGTTTATTTGAAGAGATTTATCACTTCAACAATTCCACTTACTCAACTAATAGTGCTAGGCTCCTGGAATACTATAGTAAATTAAACTGACCTTATGTCTTATCTCATGATTCTCACCATCTAATGACTTCCATGAAAAAACCCTAAACTCTCTTGTCTCTTGTCCTTCTTACACATCTAACCGTCAACTGCTCTTGCTTAAATTAATTCTGTTGTCTGCCTTCACTGGTCCCACACAAGGGCAACTATACACTAGGAGAAAAATTGAAATTTTCACATCATTAATTTATGTCTCTGCATATTCATGGTCTCTAACTTCATCTAGGTCCTAAATGCTGTTCTATGTCCCTAGCAAGCTTTCTCTTTATTTTTCCTAACCTCTAATTGAAATTTAGCATTTCATTTATTTACAAAAGGCAGGCAACAAATAATAGTATTAGCAGTGCCTATTAGTACTGCTGCAGTACTAATAACTTTGTTTACAGTGTCTATAACTTTGTCACCAACAGAAATCACATAATTTTTTGTGTCACATTATAGTTGTTACAGATATCTCAGGATATATTCATATTCATTACTACTTTGCAATTATGGTAGTTATTAGATTTGACACCAGACCATGCTATTGTATGCATTAGGATAAGTATTGTAGCATTTTAAAAAAATATGTTTTTTGACACTCCTCCCATCAAGAGGTAAAGATTATGTTTCTTTCCTGTGAATCTGGGGCAAGCTCAATGACTCCCACATAACCAAGAGAATTCAGTGGAAGTGACGCTATGTGTTTCCAGGGGCTAAGTCATGAAAGGCAAAGAGGCTTTCACCTTGCTTCCTGGAGCACAAACCCTGGGAGCTCTGAGACACCATGTAATAAATCCAACTACCTTCTGGCTGTCATGCTGTGAGGAAGACCAAACTAGCCTAAGCAAAGAGCCCACGTGGAGACAGAAAGAGAGAGAGAAAGACCAACCTGGCCCAGCTCCTACTGTTACTTTGATTGGTAGAAACAAATAAGTGCTTCTTACAAGGTCTGTCAATCTGCTCCTGCTTATGGGAAGACAAACTATTCCCAGCCCTGTGTAAGTACTAGAAACTGTTTGGCCCACTGCTTTTTGGTGTCTTTTCCCTAGCCTCGTGGAGTTTCATCCTTCCATTGCACAGATAAGTACTCAGAGCCAAAGGGAAGTACGCAATACAAAGGAACACTCTTGCAGATGTCCAAGACTCTCCTGTGTGCCATGTCCTCCTCTCAGATACTCTGCCCATCAGCCTCTCCAACTTCCCATCTCTGTCACCTCCATCTCTGTCGCCTCCATTTAGTGAAATCACCGGTTTTTGTTTGGGTTCCCCTCCCTGTTCTAGGCTCTGGACACTGCCTCCAGATAGTAAGCTGGGGTCATTATGGAACTTAATTCATTCGTTTCCCTTCTCTCAGGGATCACGATACTGCACTGCCTGTTGGCTAATGTCTGAAAACAATGATTTCATAGATACATACATATATGTGTATATGTATATATACAACCCTTTCCTAAATATGTATAAGTATACATACTTATGATTTATATGAATGTATATATGTGTGTATATATTATATATCTTATACATATTATATATTTATAATATATATTTTATATATGTATATAAAATATAAATATTATATTTTATCATATGCATATATTTTATATATCTATATATTTATATATTATATATAACATATTCAGTATATAAATATATATAAAATGATATATACATATCATATATTTTATATTATATATATGCGTAAATACATGTATGTAATATATAAAATATATATTTTTTTCAAGTGATACTCCCATCTCAGCTTCTCCAGTAGCTGGGACTACACTTGTGAGCTACCGTGCCCAATTCATTTCACATATTATGCTCAATTTTCCAGATATTTCTAGTGATAGGGTAATTCTGCAGAAGCAGAAATCCAAATGTAATTGCTAAAACCTAAATTAAAACTGAATTGTGTTCTTTAATCTTAAAATTCACATTCAAAGACACAAAAAAGGGGTGCCTCTTTATACTTGACAGTAAAGCTTGTTGAAGATGTTCTCTCAGGTAGCTGTTAGCATCTCTAACTTCCCGCTCTTTAATTGGGTATATTCTGACTTCTACCATCACCATATCACTGAAACAGGTCTTATTACACCATCTATAACTATCTTATTAGTACAGCTAAGGAATATATTTAGTTCTTTTTATTTTCCTTCTAGTTCATTTCAGTCTGAGCTGGAAAATGAGTTATTTCCTTACTTGACTTTCTACACCTGTGCTATCCACTCTGGTAGCCACTAGGCACATGCGGCTACTGAATATTTGAAGTGTAGCTAGACCAAATTGAGAGGCACTGGAGGTGTAATACACACACCAGGTTTCCAAGACATAATATGAATTAAAGGACGTGACATATCTCATTAGTTTTTATGTTAATTGCATGTTAAAATGATAATGTCTTAATTATTGGGTTAAACAAGCGCTATCTCTAAAATTAATTTCATCTGCTTCTGTTTACCTTTTTATATCACTACTAGAAAATTTACAATGGCTTATGTGACTCACATTGTATTTCTAATGGCCAGTACTGCTCTATAACAACCTCTTGCACCGACAGAGCCCTGCTTTAAACTTTCCTTTCTTGGTTTGTGGGTCTCTGTTCTTCCCTAGTTTTCTTGCTACCTCGCTGTCTGCTCCTTCTCAGACTTTTCTGAGACCTAAATCTGTTGTTCTAAAATCGTAGTGTGCTGCAAAATCACCTGGGTTGCTTGCCAAAAATGCAGATTCTTGGATCTTATCTGCAGATATTATGATCTGGTAGACTGGCTTGGAGGACCGAGATTCTGATTCAGTAAAATAGAACGAGAGCTCAGAAATTTAGAATAATCTTTAGCCCTATTCTTTCTCATTTTACCCTATACATTCCATAGGTATCATCTTCCCTATCCCACCCAGCTCCAAAGATAGAACTACCACTCACAGACTAACATCTCCCAAAACTCTTATCTTCCAGCTGAGATCCCTCTCTTATCCTGCCCTCTTCTTCCAGCTGCCAGCTGTATATCTTCACTTGGAGGTACATTTGATAAGTTTGAGAAAACTTAGCGTATTCAGTATTTAAATTCTTATCTCTGTTCTCCCTAGCCCATTCCTCCTTTTGACCTCCCAGTTATCCAAGCTAGAAACCTGAAATAATTATTTACTACTTCCTAACCTCTATATCTAATCAGTTAAAAAATCTGACCAATTCTTACTTAACTTCTATCATCTCTATGCCTTTTAAATGTCCTTCATTTAGGGTTTCTCAATCTTGGCTCTACTGAAATCTTGAGCCAGTTAGTTCTTTGTTGTTGGAGGAGGGAGGTTGTCCTGTGCATTGTTAAGTGTTTAGCAGTTACCCTGTCCTTTACCCCTCTAGATACTAGTAGCACCCCTTGCTGGTACAGCCACAATGTTTCTAGACATTACCAAATCCAGTGGGAGGAGGTGAGTGGGAGGGAATCACATTTCAACCCATAGAGCCACTGCCTCACTTGATGGAGGCCCTCTTCTTAATCATCTGCGTTAGGGCAAGAGTTTCCACCTGGCCCTCTAGCCCAGGACCGCACCTCTCTTCTATTCTCTACACTCCTGATAGTTTTACAGTTTTCACAGGTTAAAATTCAGTATCTCTAATATGGCATAAAAAGGGCATTATTTGTTACCTATGCGCCTTTCCAGCTTTCCACTCTACCCATACTGAAAGGCTTTGCAGTTTCCTTAGGGATGGATGAAAGGCGTAAGAAGTGTTAACTATAGACAGTAACTAAGCTAGTAGCTTATGAGATAAATGCAAAACTCCTAGCATATTTTAAATATAGAATATGAGTAAGCATGTACTTTGTGAAACATAGGCAGGATTATGTAAAATATATAGAGTAAGTTAGTAAACTATAAGACATGCCAAAGTTAAATAGAAATATGATGGAATAGAGAGTCACTGATAGCCAAAAAGGGATGGAAAAACTAAGCAATGAGCAATCATGACATCTCTGGGCTATTAACTATGTCACCTCTAAATCAGCCACCCATTGGTCACACTTAGAATAGTCTCATATGTGCTCTGCCCAGGAAATGCAAATAAAACCTGTATCTGTTCAACAACTTACCGAGTAAGCTCTGGCTGTGACCAGGCATACTTCTCTGCGTCTATCCAATAAAGCAGGTGTGTACCATTGGCCCAAAGCACTTTCCACCTGTGGGCCTCCTTGCTGACACCTCACCTCTGGTCCTCGTAAGTATACCACCAGCGGAGAAGGCTGTTGTGGCAGATAGGATATATGAACATTACTTAACCCATGATTCAGGTGATGGCGTCCTTCCACTTGCTTGCACCTTATCCTAAGTGTGTCCACTTACCACAACTCTTTCACCTTTTCACTGGATACTTAAATTGAATAGGCTATATTATTTAATAATCTTAATTTGATCTGTGAGCCTTCTCTGTTTCATTACCTTTAGGATAGCTTGCCTAGTTTACTAGGAAGTCACAATTGCATCAAATTAAGTTCCATGCAGGCATTAATCTCCTCCCAGAACGCTCCTGCTTTAGCCCCTATCATTTTATCCTGTTTATATCCATGTGTTTCTGTTATGACACTTTTCACACCACACTGTGATTAACTGTTTATTCCTCTCTCACTAGTCTGTGAGCTCCTTGGAAGCAGAAATAAATTTTGTTTTTGTCTAATCATTGCTTAACAAAGTGCCAACCACAAAGTAAACAGTAAAAGAATTACAGAATGCAACCTCCTGCAGACACAGTTGAAGAAACTATTCATTGTTTTTTCCTTTCTGTCATTCCCTAGTTCTAGGCATCAAATCGCTTGCCTAGTCGGCGAGCAGTATGAAAGTGGTGGGAGGACCATAGACGCACTGCAGAAAACAGCTTACAGTAGATGCAGAGAATTACTAGCACGCTTGGGCCTTGGTGGGGCTTGTCTTATTTACCTGTTCCTCATTTTTCACTGGGAGTTTAAAACAAGTTTTTGTTTCCCTGCTATCCCGACCTTAAGATAATTAAAAGGCCAAGAATCTTTAAGAGACTTTCAGTTCTCCTGGATTCTAGATAATAAAACCCACTTTAAAAATTAATGAGCACCTATACTGTGACAGACAATAAGGATACAATAAAAATACCATTTCTGTTCTGAGAAAATTTACAAGCATCTTCCTGGAGCCTACATTTTACTCGAAGTAATAGCTATTTTTATAGCTTACAATAAAAGATGCATTTTGGAATATATTTCGCTTGAATTAAAGAAATAGAATGTGAGACCTTAAACAAAGGGTCCGTTCTTCAGATCCTTTTAACTCACACTCTCCTTCAGGGGTCGGGGTATTTGGGTGCAAAAGTTTACTATCACGCACAGGTGTAGAGATGTACAAATACGATCCAATTTAGTGGAAACTGTGTCTTGTAAGAGATGGCCCCCAGGGACCTCCCACATCCCTAACCTCTCGGAGGACTGCAAAAGACAGCATCTGAAGCACCTCTTGCCTCGCCTTGAATCATTTGCCACTTCACACCGCCCCGCCCCTTCCGTCCCCGGAGGCGGCCAGCCTCGTGTCCGCTCTAGGCTTCTCCCGGACGTCTCTTTGTGGTGGCGTTGAGCTCCTCTAGCCCGCGCTTGCCGTCCTCTCAGTGGTAGCGCGGGGACTGGCTGGGAAGCGGTCGGTCGAGTGTGGCCTGTGTGGACTCGCATCTTGCCCGAAGCCGGGCGGAGGAGAGCTCAAGCTAAGGTGGAAGGGGAACGGGGGAGGCCCTGGAGAGGAGTGGGAGAGTGGAGACAGGCCCCTGGGTGGCGAGGGAGCCCGGCGGCGTAACGGGGGAACCCGGGGAGAGGTGGAAGAGGAGGCCCGCACACGTGAGGGGGATTTCCAGCTGCTGGCCGGGGCCTCTCACCCCTACCCCCGCGTAGTTCATCTGCGACGCAACGCCTTGTGTCAAAGCCCAGCACAGGTTCTGCCGCCTCTGACCTCTCTGAGGGTCGTCGCCTGTCCTGTAGGCCCAGGACCTTCAAAGCTACGATTTTGACGTGAACTACTTAGGGTTATTGTGGCCTTGAACTCCGTAGACAGCCTTTATCTCTGCTATTTTTGTTTTTAATTTTTCAAATCAGAATCCTTTCAACCCTGGCCGTTTGAGGCCAAAGGCTAATGTTTATTTTTCCATCCCGGTACCATGAACTTAGTAGGTGCCCACTGGACGGATCTGGTGGTTTTAGTCATTTGTAAATAGCCGTGAACTAAGGAAGAAATGTATGTGGCCTCTTACAGGGTTGGGTTGGGAATCATTGCAGGGTTTGGGGGCACTCTGTTAGGCATGATAACAACAGCTCTAGGCTTGAGTTTCTTCATCTGTAAATGAGAATGATAGTACTTTCCTCAGGGTGGCTATGAAGGTTCCTGAAATGATGTTTGCCCTAAGCACTGTACCTGGCATGTCCTGACTACCACACTTGAACCAAATCTTTTCAATGGTGTTATGGACTATATTTTTGTTTTAAATTGCCTTTACCTTTCTTATTGTACCTAGATCTTCCTGAGGATTGAGACTCTCCTCTTTGCCTTTGGGCCAATTGTCATGTTATAGGTAATCAGTATTTGAAGATGACAGGCACAAAAAGTTCACAGTTGCAGGATGCGTGACTTTTGTAGGCGTATGTACCCATAACTAAAGCTCCTGATTTGGGGAGTAGGGGTAGATTAAATTATATTTTTATTAAATAAGAGATAATCTGGGAAGACGCTGTGTAAGTTGTAAGACCCTATGCCAAGAAAAGCCTTTAATTTTTTTCATAAAACATTTCATGAAAACTTTTTTTATGTTTTTCATAAAAGAGACATCAGTTGACCTAAAAACGAAGTAAATTTTTTGTTTTGTTAAATTTCCTCTAAATGTTACTTTTCCCACTAATAAGGAGACTGGTAACAAACTAAAAAACTATGTTAAGGGAAATTAACATATTGGAACGGGTATTTCTGCATCTCCCCTACAAATTTAGGAAGAAAAAGTGAGTTCCCTAATTAATCCTCAATTCCCTCTGCTGTTGTTTTGTTAGTGGCTGTTTTGCTGTTTTGTTAGTGGTGGGGGGGGTGTTCTGCATTAACACCCCGAAACCCCTGTGATAATGTCCTAGACCTTGCAAGCATCATGGCCGCGTGTGAGTTTTCTCAGCTTCCTCAACCTAATCTACCTTCCTTACCGTTTGGTAATGGGCAGCAAGAGAAAATGCTTAAGAACTCTTTAAAACTACTGATGTTTTAAAGTAAAGCTGGATAATTCCCTGAGCTGGCAGCGTTCAAATTGTATGAGGAGCAAATACTTTTGTTTACTGCCTAAGGTAGTAGGAGAGGTCTAATCAAAGTATTCTACATTTATTTCATTCTCTTTTGATTCTTAGGTAGTGCTACAAAAATATTAAATGTTAATCTTAGAATACAAAACATGCTGTATTTAGGCACTAAAGTAAAGTGATGTCAATCCTAAGGCAGCAGAAAGTCTTAATTTTCTCCTATGCAGAATTTTTAAAAGACAATGTCAGATAAGAAATCTGGACTTAGGAGAGACTTTATTCAAAAGGGTTATCACAAAAGGAGAAAAGGGACTTTTGCAATGGGTAGAACCAAAAGATCTGCAAGAATCTCCAAGGAGTGAACTGTGCTAGAAAGTTTTGGTGTGAGGAAGTAGGATATAAGGGTGGCTTGATCTAATAGTAGATCTGAGAATGTTATTCCTTGGCTCTGGCTGAGAGTTGGCCAAAGCTCAGGAACCTGGGGGAAGGAGAGAAACTAAAGTTTGATTAACAAGTATTTTGTTCCACTTGATCTGTAGGGCCAAGCAGATCAGCAAATTATTCATAAATTCATAGTTGAAGCAAAAAATGAGAATTTGGAGGGTCTTTCTTTTGCCTGGTCATAGGTAAACAAGGGGGGATCCTTGAGTCTTACCTAACTCAAGGGTGGGAGGATTTTTTAAATTATAGCTAATAAGGAGCCAGCACAGGGCTCAAGCAAAATTCAACTTGCCAAAAAGTGTTTTTATTATTTGACATTGAAAAGTATTGAAAACCTGGATTTTATTTATACCATGGTGAATCTTTCTAAAACTGGGGTTTTTGTTATTGGTTTGCTTGTTATCCTATAAGAAGCTGGATTTTTTTTCTTCCATGAAGAGTACTAGGTTTTATATTGACCAAAGTGTTTGGAGCAAATTAATCTTTTCTTGCGTTAAAAGATTATTAAAATAGGAACTGGTAAGATGCTATAACCAGTTTAAATGACAATTAAAAGTAGACATGTTTATAGAGCAGGAATATTGAAATAAATGTGCAAGTGAGGGCAAAATTGGCTGCTTCCACAGTCAGACGGAAGTCCATTGAACCTTCAGCAGATAGAATTTACAAGAATACAGACAATTATTTTGCATTGCTGTTGGTTATCTACAGTTGACAGTTGTAAAATAGCTCCAAGATGCTGAAAGAATCAGACTTCCCATGTAATCAGAATGTGAAAACCTGAAAGGCTGTGCTCTCAACAGTGCAGTTTTCTATTGAAGCAGATGTTTTTCTCTGTCCTTAGTGTATCGAATTTAAATCTCCTCTCCCTCAATAATCTTCCCTAGAGTTAGACTTCCTGTAAGGCAAATACATATCTGTGTTTTTCTTACTCTTTTTTGCTATCTTCTATAAAATATAGAAGATATCAAAACATTTTAAATTTAAATTTTTTAATTGAATTATCTGAAGCAGTACATAGCAAACTGTAATGTGCTTACAAATCACTTGGGTATCTTTTTGAAATGCAGATCCTGACTCATTGGGTCTGGAGCTGATACTGAGATTCTGTATTTCTACTGAGGTCTCAGCTGATGCCAGTGCTGATTCAGGGAGAGTAAACAGTAATGCATTTCCAACTATATTAAGGAAGGGGCCAGATAAATCATCGTTATGGAAGAACATAGCACTGTACTGTAGGTGAAAGGAACAATATGAACTTGCTGGACTGTCATTTGAAGAAAACAAAATATAAACTGTAGGCCACATTGCCAGAACACAGACCAAAATGAGCAAAAACAGTTGCTAGGAAACAGGCCCAAATGCAGAACTTTAGCTTATAGGAGGAAGTCAGAAAGAGCTGGAAATGAGAACATTGAGGAATATAACAGAGGAGGAACAACCAGAGGGTGTGATTTTTAGAATGCAAACAGTGACCACTTAGGATCAGTGTCTGAAATTTGGTGTTCCTTGAGCTAGCTGGACTTGGACTCTTTGACAGTATGTGAACAAACTGCCTAATCGTAGATCAGAAAGCTAACCTATGGAAGACTTTAAAACTACCTTGACTCAGGTGTGTGCAGTTTTACTCAGGTGTGTGCAGTTTTACTCAAGTGAGTGGGATTAGTTTGCCGCTGAATTTTAATCTGTGTAAAATTTAGTTTTTATCACAGTTGGCAATGTCTTCTATCAGATAGGATATTTTAATTTTAAAATGAGCTGATCCTGTAAAGAAGTAATTCGTTGTCTGAAATTCAAATCTAACAGGGCATCCTGCGTTTTTTATTTGCCAAGTCTGGTGACCCCATTTTCTGCATCCAGTAAGTAGAGATCTTTGGTGCTAGCTCAATGTGCTGCCTGTTACTAAGAAAAACTGAACTTCCTGTAAACAACTTACAGGACCCACCTACTCAGAAGGCTGAGGTGAGAAGATCACTTGAGGCCAGGAATTTCAGAAATAGGTATTCAACTTCACTGGCACAAGTTACAGAGTCTATTCCATTAGTTTCCTTTAATCATGATGAACTCTGTTGAATTTTGTAGTAATTTAGCCATGAATAAAGGAAACTAATGGAACAGAGACTCCCCAATAACTAAGGAAAAGAATTTTTTACCTAAAATTAAAATTAATAGAGTAAATGAAATTACCCTAAAGGGTAAAAATGTATTATTACTATGGACAGATAAGGTTTCTAAAGTAATTAGTTTCCTAAATCCAAGATGCTTTTCCTATCAAATATGACCATGGTAGCCCAAGTTTTGAATATTAGGAAATAGCTTTATGGCAAAAAAAGTTCCATTATAGATCTGTGGCTAAAAACTGGTGATGATTACCTCCAAATAAAAAGAATCTCTGGCATTAACAAAATACTAAGCATTATTTTCTGTACAGTGATGAGGGATAGTTGTCCTAGTTTCCCTTGTATTAAGAAAGGTCAGGCCAGGCACGGTGGCTCATGCCTGTAATCCCAGCACTTTGGGAGGCTGAGGCAGGCGGATCACGAGGTCAGGAGATCGAGACCATCCTGGCTAACATGGTGAAACGCCATCTCTACTAAAAATACAAAAAAAAAAAAAAAAAGCAAAATTTAGCCAGGCGTGGTGGCGGGCACCTGTAGTCCCAGCTACTCTGGAGGCTGAGGCAGGAGAATGGCGTTAACCCGGTAGGTGGAGCTTGCAGTGAGCCAAGATCTCGCCACTGCACTCTAGCCTGGGCGACAGAGCGAGACTCCGTCTCAAAAAATATATATAAAAAATAAGAAAGGTCAAAGCCAGATTGTGTCCCTTATTTGCTAATATACATTGCCACATAGTTCGTTGCCTTGTAACTTTACCTCTGATTTCCTTTTTCTCCTCCTTAATTTATCTTAATCCAATTATCTGTTTGAAGAAAAAAAAAATTTTTTTTATTTTTTTATTTTTTGAGATGAGAGTCTCGCTTTGTCGCCCGGGCTGGAGTCCAGTGACACGATCTCGGCTCACCGCAACTTCCGCCTCCTGGGTTCAAGCGATTCTCATGCCTCAACCTCCCATATAGCTGCACTACCACACCTGACTAATATTTTTGTATTTTTAGTAGACACGAGATTTCACTATGTTAGCCAGTCTAGTCTAGAACTCCTGGCATCAAGTGATCAACCCACATTGGCCTCCCAAAGTGCTGGGATTACAGGCAGGAGCCACAATGCCTGGCTAGAAGAAACTTTTCTAATTATTACTGTGATAGAAGCCATTTTATCTGATTTGATTGGGACCTGTATTAGTTCATTTTAAAAACTGACTAAAACACAGTAAATGAATATAAATATACTCTGTTTTTACCAGCTTTAAAACTTTTTTCAGTTAAAATGTTCAGTAACATATTTTAACACTTTAAAGTGTATTTTATTTTTTAACTTTGTAAATACAGTATTTTGACCTAAAACACAGACATTTATTCGCCATTTTTTGTTACCTGAGGCCAGAGTCTTCTTTTTATATGATTTTGCTGATTATTGTTTTTCTCTGCAGAAACCATATCAAAATGTGTTTAAGATTTCTCTCCAGTTTTTGTTTTTTTTTTAATTTTGCAAAGCTTAAAAACACTTGTAAAATTGCTGAATCCTAGACTTCACAGTCCCTCCCTACCACTCAGATTTCAGTGGTTCACATTTTTTCTCAACAGCAGATTTTTTCCTAATGAGTTGCATTGGTTGCATATTTTCTTGAGAATCCAACTTTTTTTTTTAATTTGCTTTGAAAATTATTTATGAAAAATTTCAAATAGAAAGTATGGACAGTAGTGAAGCACTTATGTACATGTCACCAAACCTTATTTTCTGTAAATCTTTTTGGGGAAAATAATGTTTTTTCCCCTCAGAAGTATCCACAAATGTGATATATGTTACTCTTATGTATATTTTAGTATATATTCATGTTTCATCTGTAAATCTTATGTACTATCTTATCTTTTTAAATTTTACCTTTAATGATGATACTATATAACCTTTACAACTTTTTTCACTTAAGATTGTCTTTGAGATTTATTCATGTTGATTCACGTAATTCATGTAGTTTATTCATTTTAACTGTTATGTGGGAGTCCCTTGTATGAGTAACGATTTCACATCCTTTACAATTAGGTTATTTGTCATCTTTCACTGCCAAAGGCAGTGAATGCTGAAAGTTTTCGTATATAACTTGTGCTCTTATTGGAGATATTTTTCTCCATCTGACACCCAGAACTGAAAAGAGCTGAGTCCCAAGGTGTATGCTTCCTCAGTTTTACAAGAAATTGCAGAAAATGTTCTAAAGCAGTTGCAGCAATTTACATTCCTACCAAAGTTATTATAAGGAGCATGTGAGAGTTGGACACATCTTAACCAGATATCAGATTTTTAAATTGATTTCAAGCAAATGTTTAATAAATGATATTTAATTTGCATTTTCCTAGGAACTATGGGGGAAACAGTTTGTATGCATGTATTGGCTTTTGTTCTCTTTCTCTGTGAATTGCCTGACTATATTTGTTTAGTTTTCCAGTGGACTCTGTCATTTTCTAATTGATTTTTGGAAGTGAGGAGTTACTCGAATATTTATGATAATAATCCTAACACCTTTCAAGTGTCTTTTTTTTTCTCCTTTAGTTATACAGAAATGTGTAAATTTTACATATAATCAAATATATCCATCTTTTTATTTATTTATTTTTTTGGTATCTGCTTGCTTGTTTGAAAAATTCTTCCATACTTCCATGTCAGAAAACCTTCTTTATTTTCTCATAAACATGTTTAGTTTTTCTTTTCATGTTTAAATCTTTAATCCACTTGTTATTGATTTTTGTTTGTGCAGAAGAGATCTAATTGTTTTTCCATATGGTTAAAGTCCCTTCTTCATTAGTGTGTGATACCCATCGATTAATAGTACCACATGTCATATACTGAGCCCTCATCTACTCATGGATCTGTTTGTTTATACTATACCAATACCATAGTTTTAATTAGAATAGGTTTAAAGTAAATCAATATGTTACTGTATTTTCCTTCAGGATTACCTTGGCTTTCTTAGACCTTTGCTCTTTCATATAGACCAGCTTGCTAAATTCCAAGGGGGTGGCAGTAGAATATCTGATGGAACTTTGATTGTAACAGAACTGAATTTACAGATGTATTCCCAGATAATTGACATATTTTTTATAATGAGCCACTCCATGATATATAGCTGCATTTATTTAGGGTACCGTTTTTGTCTTGCAGTTTGATAATTTTCTCCATGAAGGTCTTGTTGTATGTCTTTTGTAAGAGTCACATATTTTGTAAGATACAGTGTTTTTTGGTTTCTAGCATCCCTGGTGAATTCTCTTATTAGTTCTAATAGTTTGTTAAACCTCTTGTATTTCTCATGTATCTTAGGATAATATTTCTTATTTCCTCCTTTTTAATTCTTATGTGGTCTTAAATATAATCTGTAATTGCAGATGTTTTCGTGAAGTTCTGACTTTACAGGGAACGCTTCTGTTTGATTATTAAATGTCTATTATAAGACTTCGATAAATACCTTTTTTATTCCTTATTTTCTTTTAGATAGGTGTTGAATTTTATCAAATGCTTTTTCAGTTTCCTAGATAAACTTGCAGCACAAATTTGATTCTCTTTAATATTTTCTCTAGGGTGATCAGCCCATGACCTAAACCTCCAGACAAAATAAAACGGAAAATTTGCTAGAATCAAGAATGATGGATCCATGTTCAGTTGGAGTCCAGCTTCGTACTACAAATGAGTGCCATAAAACCTACTATACTCGTCACACAGGTTTTAAGACTTTGCAAGAATTGTCATCAAATGATATGCTTTTACTTCAACTTAGAACTGGAATGACACTTTCTGGGAACAATACAATTTGCTTTCATCATGTAAAAATTTACATTGACAGATTTGAGGATTTACAGAAGTCATGTTGTGACCCATTTAACATACACAAGAAATTAGCCAAAAAAAATTTGCATGTAATTGACTTAGATGATGCCACTTTTCTGAGTGCTAAATTTGGAAGACAGCTTGTACCTGGTTGGAAGCTTTGTCCAAAATGCACACAGATAATCAATGGAAGTGTGGATGTTGATACTGAAGACCGCCAGAAAAGGAAACCTGAGTCAGATGTATGTGTAATAGTCATTTTTTTCTACATTGTGAATTCTACCATGTAGGATTTTGCTTAACTATAAGAAAATCATATTTACATTATTACTAAATTTGTTAGCATACAGTGAATTAAAAGGAGGGGTGAAAGTGGATGATGTTTCTAAATATTATTCACATATACTGAAGGTCAAGATTGGGGGATAAAGAAAGTAGGCCTGGGAAAGTAATAATAAAATATGCCTAAGACTCCAAGCTACAACTTTTAGTGCGAAGACTTTAGGAGTGGGTTTTAGAATATTCTGGCCAAGCCAGGATTTAGTTTCTTTTCTGATACCAAAGTAACTACACGGGACATGGCAACCACCAAGGGTCTTTGCAGCAGGATGACTTCGCCTTTATATGAAGGACTTGGAAATCACTGCTTTAAAAGGAACATTAGAGAGGTGACTTACAGTAATTGTTTTTTATTTCACTCTTTTTTTCTCCTTTGACACTGTCTCGTTCTTGAGTTTTTTAAATGCTTGTGAATTTTCTTTGCTTCTAGTTCTGAATTCCTACTTGATATGGTCAAGGCTAATTTTAGGACTCCTTGAGGTAAAAAAAAAATAATACATTTTTACATTGTAAAGTATTAAATATTTTACCTCTATTCCTATTGACATGCCTACATGCATATTTAACCATATCAGAACAACTTAAGTTTTCATAAAGCTATCTTTTGTGTAGGACAAGTATATCAAAGAAGCACATCTCAGAATTTTTACTTGTAATTATTTCATAATTCTTACTGCTGGAATATTTTTCTCAGTTTTCTCCTTTTTATTAAACCAAGTTAAAAGATAGTTGAAATTTGAAATTATACTATTTTCCTGTTGTTGTCTTCTCAGAGGAACATCTTGAGGGCCCAGTTTATCTGTAGTTCATACTAGATACTTGCTGATAGTGTCATTGTAGATGTCTTCACCTTATCTATCCAATGTTCTTGTAGAATATATCAGCTGCAGCTCTTTCCTCCCCAAATAACAAACATAAACCCTTAAACACCGAAATTTTGTTTCACCAAAACTTTTCAAAAAGATTATAATACTATTCTAGAACTTGAAATCATATTCTCTGCTCTTAAAAATATATAAAATACAATAATAAGGACCCAGGATTGTTAGGAAATCAGTTATGTGCCACTGGATTATATAGCAGTTTTTGTGCCTTCTCTCCTGTGTTGGCAGCAGCCATTGCAGTTTTCACAATGCCTTCCTCCTCTGCTCCTAATATACCAGAGACTAAAATAAAATAATGGAAATGTTACTAATACATTAACCAATATGCTTTGAATATGGTCTAGGGCCATGTAAATTTTCTTGCACTTAGGCTCTAAAACCTTGTTTTCTTTTTTGTGTGTTCCAGACTGTCTTCCATGTTAGGGAATCGTCTGGTTTAACATTAAATAAAATGTTAATCTGTTGTCTGTTGTCAAGATTTGAGTTGATAATTTGTTTACCTTTCTTCAGGGAAGAACTGCTAAAGCTTTGAGGTCATTACAATTTACGAATCCAGGAAGGCAAACTGAATTTGCTCCAGAAACTGGTAAAAGAGAAAAAAGAAGGCTTACAAAAAATGCAACCGCTGGTTCAGACAGGTAGGCTAAGTGTTACTGAAGACATGTTAACTTGCTGCTTCACATCTGCATTGTTCCCCTATTTTTCTCTTAAATTTTGAATTTTCTGGGTTCATATTTTAAATTGGATAATGTAGAATTAGTAAAAACCTATGAAGGCCTTTGTTTTTATTCATATAAAATTAAGGTATCCCTTTCAACTACAAAAATTTGTTTCTAAGAAGGTAGCAGTGAACTGAAGAAATAATTTTGGCATGAGAGTTAAAATAATTACAATTAAAGTAATTCACTTATTTGAAAAGCATTGTTATTATATATATACGGACATACCTCATTTTATTGGTGCTTCACTTTATTCTTTACAAGGTGCTATTTATTTTTACAAATTGAAAATTTGTGGCAACTCGGTGGTAAGCAAGTCTATTGGTGTCATTTTTCTAACAGCATGTACTCCCTATCTCTGTCGCATTTTGGTAATTATTGCAATATTTCCAGCTTTTTCATTACTGTATCTGTTATGATGATCTTTGATGTTACTATTATAATTATTTTGAGTCACTAGGAACCACACTAATGCAAGGTGGTGAACTTAGTCGATAAATGCTGTGGGTGTTCTTACTGCTCCACCTACTGGCTGTTCTCTAGACTCTCTCCCTCTCCTCAGGTGTCCCTATTCCCTGAGAAACAAATATATTGAAATTGGTCCAACTAATAACCCTGCAATGGTCTCTAAGTGTTCAAGTGAAAGGAAGAGTCAAGTTTCTCATTTTACAAAAAAAGCTAGAAATGATTAAGCTTGGGAGTAAGG
The DNA here is from genome assembly GCF_000001405.40 of Homo sapiens. Classification (NCBI taxonomy): domain Eukaryota; kingdom Metazoa; phylum Chordata; class Mammalia; order Primates; family Hominidae; genus Homo; species Homo sapiens. Next base: position 30,333,781 of record NC_000011.10, read on the forward strand.
CACGTCAAAAGCTGAGACAGGCCAAAAGCTGGGCCTCTTGTGCTAAACAGCCAAGTTGTGAATGCAAAGAAAAAGTTCAGGAAGGACATTAAAAGTACCATTCCATTGAACACAAATGATAAGAAAGCAAAACAGCCTTATTGCTAATATGGAGAAACTTTAAATGGTCTGGATAGAAGATCAAACCAGCTACAACACATTCCCTTAAGCAAAAGCCTAATCCAAAGCAAGGTTCTAACCCTCTTCAATTCTCTGAAGGATGAGAGAAGTGAGGAAGCTTCAGAAGAAAAGTTTGAAGCTAGCAGAGGTTGGTTTATGAGGGTAAGGAAAGAAGCCATCTCCATAACATAAAAGTGCAAGGTGAAGCAGCAAGTTATTAATGAAGGTAGCTACACTACCCAACAGATTTTCAATGTAGACCAGCCTTCTTTTTTTTTTTTTTTTTTTTTTTTTGAGATGGAGTCTTGCTCTGTCACCCAGCCTGAGGTGCAGTGGCGCAAACTCAGCTCACTACACCCGCCACCTGCTGCGTTCAAGCGATTCTTCTGCCTCAACCTCTTGGGTAGCTGGGACTACAGGCACGTGCCACCACAGCCAGCTAATTTTTTGTATTTTTAGTAGAGACGGGTTTCACCATGTTAGCCAGGATGGTCTCGATCTCCTGCCCTCGTGATCTGCCCACCTTGGCCTCCCAAAGTGCTGGGATTACAGGTGTGAGCCACCACGCCCAGCCAACAAACAGCCTTCTAATGGAAGAAGATGCCGTCTTTCATAGCTAGAGAGGGGAAGTCTATACCTGGCTTCAAATCTTCAAAGGACAGGCCGTTTCTCTTGGTAGGGACGAATGCAGCTGGTGACTTTTAAGTTGAAGCCAATTATTTACCTCTTCGAAATCCTAGGGTCCTAATGATGCTAAATGTACTCTACCTGTCCTGTATAAATGGGACAAAGCCTGAATGGCAGCATATCTGTTTACAGCATTGTTCATTGAATATTTTAAGCCCACTTGAGAGACCTCCTGCCTAGATAAAAGGATTCCTTTCAAAATATTGCTACTCATTGACAATGTACCTGATCACTCAGGAGCTCTGATAGAGATGTCCCAGGAGATAAATGTTTCATGCCTCCTAACACAACATTCATTCTGTAGCCCACGGATCAAGGAGTACTTTGACTTTCAAGTCTGTTATTTAAGAAATACGTTTTGTGAGGCCAGAGCTGCCATAGACAGTGAGTGATTCCTCTGATGGATTTGGGCAAAGTAAATTGAACACCTTCTGGAAAGGATTCACCATTCCAAGAGTTTGGAAGAAGATTCGAGTCCTCATGGATGACTTTGAGGGGTTCAGGACTTCAGTGGAGGAAGTAGTTGCAGACGTGGTGGAAATAGCAAGAGAACTAGAATTAGAAGCAGAGCCTGGAGATGTGACTGAGTTATTGCAATCTTGTGATAAAACTTGAATGGATAAGGAGTTTCTTCTTAGAGATGAGCAAAGAATGTGATTTATTAAGGTGGAATCTACTGGTGAGGATGCTGTTAACATTACTGAAATGACAAAGGACTTAGATTATATAAACTTAGTAGATAAAGCAGAGGCAGAATTTGAGAGGATGACTCCAATTTTGAACATTCTACTGTAGGTAAAATGCTATCAAACACCATCACATGCTACAGAGAAATCTTTTGTAAGAAGAGTCCACTGATGCAGCAAACTTCACTGTAGTCTTTAAGAAATTGCCACAGCTACCCTAGCCTTCAGCAACGACCTCCCTGATCAGTCAGCTGTCCTCACTGGGGCAAGATCCTCCACCAGCAAAAAAACTACAACTCATTGAAGTTTCAGATCATTGTTAGCATTTTTTAGCAATAGAGCATTTTTAAATTAAGGTACATACATTTTTTTCTTAGACATAAGGCTGTTGCACACTTAATAGGCTATAGTGTAAGCTTAACTTTTATATGCACTGGAAAAGCAAAAAAATATATATATATATATGTGTGTGTGTGTGTGTGTGTGTGACTCACTTTATTGGGGGTGGTCTGGAACCAAACCCACAATACCTCCGAAATGTGCCTGTAATTCATATATCTCCGTTCTATGGGTAGCAGCTAAAAGGTAATTACATTTTATGAGAATGCAAGGTTTTTATTTTTTACATGTCTGAAATAGAAATGCAGTTCTGTATAGTCAACATAATGAATGGGAGAACTAAATTGTTTAGAATATGACTCTAAAACAAATGTTAATATAATCATTCAGAATTTTTTTTCTAAGTTCAGTCAACATTTCTATATATGCCATGTATTCCATCTGTTAAAATTTACCATTGAGTCATTTAAATATTTTTAGGCCAAATTTACTAGAGTCCATTAAAGAACAAGAAACATTAATTGTAGTATAAAAATCTATAGAGGTGGTATACTATAATAAAAATAAAACTGTGTTGATAAAACAGTGAAGAGGTTGGTAGCTAATAAAGTGAACCACTATTAACCTGTCATTCTTTTTTGTTTGTTTAAAGTAAAGGGAAAATTATGCACTTCAAGAAGCGTATTCAGAATTTTTAGATTTGTCTCAACACTCTATAGAGTTAGGTCTCCTCTTCTCACATGGAGTTCATTTACTGCTGACGATAGAATAAGCCTTGAGCCTGATAAATTATAGATGATTTTGGCATGACCTCATCTAAAAATATTTTATCTCCTTTTTTTTTTTTACTGTATTTTCAATTAAATCAAAAATAACATATTTATGAGGTATAATTCATTGTGTTTTATTTTACAGACAAGTGATACCAGCAAAGAGTAAGGTCTATGATAGCCAGGGTCTCCTGATTTTTAGTGGGATGGACCTCTGTGACTGCCTGGATGAAGACTGCTTAGGATGTTTCTATGCTTGTCCTGCCTGTGGTTCTACCAAGTGTGGAGCTGAATGCCGCTGTGACCGCAAGTGGCTGTATGAGCAAATTGAAATTGAAGGAGGAGAAATAATTCATAATAAACATGCTGGATAATCTGCGGTACCAAACTATGGAGCCTTTAAAGGTCTTTATTTCTAAAAATCTGTTACTCTAAGATACATTTTAAGCTTGATTATCATATGACAAAGATTTTAAAACCATCTCAGTGTGCCCTAATTTTTCATCTTGGGTGCTTTAAGATTCACTATTTGATATAAATTCAGATAGGCTATTTTTCAGTAGTCAGCGTTAAGCCTGTCTGGATCAATATAAACAAGTAGGGTGTAGGCAGTCCTCTATTTGCATGTTTCCCATGGGCACAAATTTCAGTGACCTAGATTTAGTTTAAATACCAGTTTCCTTACCAGGAAGGAAAGAAAACTGGTAAGGAAACTGTTGTTGTTAAAATCTAGGTTAAAATTTTAGTTAGCACATTGTAACTGAGTAATTACATGAAGTACAAACCTCTCTGCTAGCTCTTCAGTCTACAAATCGCTATGTAAATAACAGATATGCTTCATGATTGTGACCAGTCATGTTATTTCTTTCAAATTCTTCCAGTGGTTTGTCCCTGTGCATCTGTTAATTCAGTTCACGTACAGCAGAGCATGTAGTTATGCTGTCTCTCTGTCATCTACTTGACATTCTATAGAAGTGAACACTCGAAAGAACTGGTCAACAAAGATGAAAGTGCAGCAAAGCAATGAAAAATGATAACACTGGAAGTGAAATTTTAATCAAACATAAATGAATTTGTAGAAGAAGTCACTGACCATGGGAATGTTGTTCTTGCTGCTGTGTATTCATAGGAGCTTAGTGAAGGCAAACTTACCAACACAAATAAGCAAAGTGGTTGCAATAAAGACAGATACGTCCCAGAGGAAGTGATGGTTAAAAAAAAAAAACTTTACATTAAAAGATATTTAATGTGAATATAGAAATATTTCACAACATTGAAAGCACAAGCAATAAAAGGGTGGAAGCTGACCCAAACTTAGAAGGAGTATGGCAGTTTGCCGTGAACATAAAAGATGCTTACTCAGTATGGTAAGTTACTTGCCAGAAAAAAAGGCAAGCCCTATTCAAACTACTTTGTTTTTACAATGAAATAAAACACTTTAATTCTATTTCTAATGTTTTAAATTACAGTGTACTAAATATTTTTAAACATTTTTGCATTTTTTTCTACATTTATAACTGGTCTTAAGAGTTTTTAATATTTGAGCAGAACCTTAAAGGTCATGGAACAATCATCATTTTCCCTATTGATTATTAAGATTGCAGGACCATTTTTATGGTCCCACAGTACCATGTGAAATGAGGATCGCTTGTAGCTGGGAACAGTGCTTACTTCAGGGAAAACTGATTTTGATAGAACCGACTAGTTGAGTATTAAACTGTTTTGGAAATAATTTATATATCTAAGTGCTGAAATATATTTCTCTTCTCCCCACTTATTCAAATAAAAAAGTTTTAATACTATAAACTTTTCATTGTTAGCGCCACGCAGTCCTTGTCAAGATTGTTCTGGGGGACAAAAACTTGATGTATAAAGCATGAATATACACACAGTACTTAAACAGATACCATATCTGTGGTATTAAAATTTTGGGGGTGGTTGATTAGGATTGTAAAAAGACTCCTTAGGGAGTGAGGATGGAAAAGAGAAACACTGGTTAATACAGAGTATAAATAAATTTTTTGGAAATTGATTGCATCTTGATGTTGGAATTTGCTTGGATGCTATTTGGAGGATGGGGGAATGGTATCGTCTCTTTGCTTTTATTTTATTTTTTTTTGAGACAGTCTTACTCTGTTGCCCAGGCTAGAGTGCAGTGGCTCAATCTCGGCTCGCTGCAATCTCCATCTCCTGGGTTCAAGTGATTCTCCTGCTTCAGCCTCCTGAGTAGCGGGGACTGCAGGCGCGTGCCACCACGCCCAGCTTATTTTTTTGTATTTTTAGTAGAGACGGGGTTTCACCATATTAGCCAGGATGGTCTTGATCTCCTGACCTCATGATCTGCCCTCCTTGGTCTTTGCACTTTTTTAAAGACAGCTGTCATTTTGTCTAAAAGCTTTTTGTCACATGGGACATTGCCACTAATCTGGGTTTTGGGGGGTTTTTTGCATCCTAAATACAGTCCTTCAGTTAAATCAAATGTGCTCTTAGCAATTTGAAAGATTTTGTAGCCATTAAAACTCAATTTATGCAGCCAGTTTGAATTGACCATTAGAGGGTTTGTTTGTTTTTTAATTTTTTTGCTTTTAAAATGACTGGTTTTACTTTGAGGGAATGGCATATTCAGCCTTGGAATTACATATTTTTAATAATTTTAACTGTTCACTCACCTGTTACCAGAAGTACATACAGTTAGCTTGTCAGTTCCTTGATCTGTATGATTTACCTGAACACTGGCAAAAGAATATTTCAGCTTTATTCACTTAAGTCAGATGCTAGATTACTTTCTCTAAAGTAAGGAAATACTTCATTATTGAGGACATAAACACTCCAGTTTTATCTGAACATTAGGATCATTAGATCTTAATTGTTTCTACCATCTTTTAGTTTTTCTAAGTATGACAGTGCTTAGGCTTTTCGTAGGGACAAATTAAAATCAGGTTTTTTACTTAAAATAGGAATATTTTTGATGGAATGAATGACTTTAAAATTGCCATATTGCAGCATTTTTTAGAACAGACCTGTAATTTTTCAAAGACTAATACGTTTTTCAAAGGAAAATATTCTTGAGCAATTTTGCTAATATTTGTTCATCATGCCCATTTAGGGAAGCAAACTTTTAATGAGCATACAAAATGTTTACAGAGAAAGGTGTATCTGATTTACAGTAAGCTGTAATAAAGCTATGTTTTGGAAAAATTAAATAATGAGCCCACTTACTATTTTGTAATATAAAATTACAGAAATATGGAATATAATGAAATCATCTAGAGCCTCTTTATATTGTGCATAAATATTCCAGGTGACTATAAATTATTTTAGAATTAATCTAAAAAGCAAAGTTTTATAAACAATTTCTGTTGTGTGTAGATCCTAGTAGAGAAGTTAGGTCACAAATGTTGGTCTCACACAATGTTGGTCACAAATATTAAGGTAGAAATGCATGTATATATTTGAATAAAATGTCATCTCGTGATCTTTTCCTTTTTTTTAAAATATGGAAATAGCTATTTACCTTGTAACATCATATATAGGATTCTTCTCTTTTTAAAGTATTATGTTTAGTTCTATATAACAGGCTGTTATACAACCTGACAGTCTACTCTAAAACTGCCTCCCTGGCGTGATTTCAAGCAAGTAATTTTTAGCAAGTGAATTTTGAAATATCCATATATATATATACAGTGATTCATTATTAAAAACATAATTTTAGTGAGTTCTATTATAGTCTTAACTTTTTGGAAGTAAAAGACCCCTGTGAGAAGGTGATGAAAGCTATGAACTAACTTCCCAGAAAAATATCTGCATTCATGTACTCACAAATATCGATGTTCAGAATTCCTGAACATGTATTGCAGTACCTGGGTAGTATGAAATATTCTGTAAACCATTTTACTTTTTCAGTTGAGTATGGCTAAAGTGTCGGTTGGTTTGTTAAATAGTGTTGTGGGTGGCTGTTTTCAAGAAAAACAAAACCAGAACAGCTCAGTCCTTGAGCTATGACTGCCCTGAAAAATCAGATCCCACTGGCCTCATATACCCCTTCCACCTCCAAAAGGTGATTACACATTGAGTCACAATGTAGAAAACTGATGTCTTATCTGGACTGGATTTTGGTAGAGGTTTTCTACCTCCATGATGTTTGCCCTGCTTATAGCTTAACATTCTTGTGCAAAATTCAGGACACTGCCTTAGTTTTGCTGACATCTGGTATCTTCATGAAAAAAACTGCTCTCAGCTATTACTACTTTCCTTTAATCTCTTAACTTATAAATTTAACTGTGAACATGTAATTATATAATAACCTGCTGAAGTGGATGTTTTTCAAAATCAAATGGTTTCTCTATCATTCTTAGGTCTTGCCCAGCAGCAGTCAACCATATTGGGTGTTAATTTTCAAGAATGTGAGTGAGGATACAGAAATACACACAGGCAATTCTGAGTCTCTTTTCACTTATTTTTATAAAGTGGAGGTACTTGGGAAGTAATGCTCTTATCTATTTTTTTTAAATCATGAAACACAACTGAATACTTAGTTCGAAAGGTAATAGACCTCTGCAAAGTATATGTCCCAATGTGTATTTTTAATGGTATAGTTGTGAGGATTTACTAATCTTATTAAGATAATTTAACTTTTAGAAAAATACAGGAAATTTACTAGATAAAGCAGATTATTGGGATAGCAATAAAACACCTTCAAATACAAAAGGTATTTAAATTTGGAAGTATTACAGTTCTGTGAAATGCCACAACTAAAATGTGTTTTTTCCTCCTCGAAACTACAAGGGAGTGATTTCTTGGTTAAACATCCAGTGATTAGAAACTGCATTTCATGTCATTACAAGCAAACAAACGTTTTATTTTTTAAAGAGTTGCTGGCCAGGCATTGTGGCCCACACCTGTAATCCCAGCACTTTGGGAGGCTGAGGCGGGCAGATCATGAGGTCAGGAGTTCGAGACCAGCCTGGCCAACATAGTGAAACCCCCGTCTCTACTAAAAATGCAAAAATTAGCTGGGCATGGTGGGGCACACCTGTAGTCCCAGCTACTCGGGAGGCTGAGGCATGAGAATAGCTTGAACCCGAGGGGCGGATGTTGTGGTGAGCCGAGATCGCACCACCACACTCCATCCTGGACGCAGAGCAAGACTCTTACCTTAAAAAAAAAAAAAAAAAAAAAAAATGTTACCATAATCTACCTATCCTATCTTAGGTTTTGAAGCCTAAGATACGTTTTATAATAAATAGACTTATTAAAACTAATGTTTGCAAACATTGCTAAACTTAACAAATTGGCTAAGTTTCCCTTTGTTAACAAGCAATCAGTTACGCTGAAGAATTTGAAAAATGCAAATTAAATTGTTTTTTGTTATATTCTGACACCCCAAATTTATTATTTGGTCTTGAAGGTAATTGAAAATTAAATTGGTTATTTTGTCACATAAGATAAAGTAACCAATAGTAGCAGTACTGGTACCATGTAAATGGAGACTACAAGATTCTGGATAAAATACAAATTGAATTTTGGCATTAAGAGAGGTATTCAGGATTGCTTAGTGAATTGTGGTATATTGAGGTTTTTTAAAAATGCTAGCAAGCATCTAGCCATTTATGACTTAGTGAATGAGACTATGCAATGAAAATTTCTGCATAAAATACAGGCCCTACAGTTTGGTGTATGAAAATAAATTTATTATTCCAAAATAGCTCCTGACCTCTCTAAATTGGATGATAGACTTTCCTATAGAAAATGTTGAAAAAGAAACATTTTCTAATTTTTTCAGTAAAAGTTTCCATCTCATCCCCAAAAGCTGTAATTGAAAAAACATGCTTATTTTTTTCCTTGTGTCTTTTAAAGAACTACACATAGATTTTAGGGTCAGTGCTCAACTACAAATTCTTGGCAAACAAAGCCTCACACTGTGTGACATACCGACAACCCATGTTGAGAGGCTCCTTACACCTCTTGATGGGTGGGTGGATGGATGGATGGATGGATGGATGGATGGGTGGATGGGTGGATGGGTGTATGGGTGGATGGATGGATAGATCAATATATCAATTGACAGGCAGGCAGGCAGACACATCCAGTTGGTTCCCTTTCTCTGGAAAACCCTGACTAATACAGTAACCTAATTTGTTTCTATTTCAACTTGGTTCTCAGGTCCTGGCTCTAAAAATCAAATAAATTATAAACTATTAGATTGTTTGCTGTATCTGGCCTTAGATGAGTCAATAAAATATATAGTCAGTCATTTTTTACTCCTTTCTCTTGTTCATATTATCAAGTCCATTTGGTCACTGCTTGGAAAATTCTTGAATCTGCTTTGGGTTTTTGTTTTTATTTTTGTTTCCACGTCAGTTAAAGTCTGGTAGTGTTTTGCATGCCCAGTATCACTTCCCCTTCTGGAATTAGCACTCTGCAGTTGGCCTTTGAGAAACCACCCTTGTAGTCAGCCCATGTGGTTCAGATACAGTTGGCCTTACTTTGTGGTTGTAGGGTGGGTTTATCACAAGTCCTGGCCTTTGAGAATGTAGCATCTCACTAGCCTTAATGAATGTTAGAAGGGTGGATGTATGACTAGCCAGGTCAATCAAAGCCAATCAACTTCAGGCTTACTGAGACTAGAGAAGAAGTGATGCTTTTTTTCAATGAGGGTTGCTAAGTTTACAGGTTTAAGACCAGGCCTACTGGTGGCTAATCTTGGCACTAAGTGAGAATCTGCCTTAGAATGTAAACAACATACGTGAAAGTGGAAGCCAGAGACCAAGATAGATAGAATTTGGGTATCTCGATCCAGTTATGTCTGAAGTCAAACCTGGAATTTTCAGTTATGTGAGTCAATAATTTTGTCTTTTTGCACGATTGACCATTAAGTGAATACAAGGTAATGACTAGATGGAAAGTTAGCTCTACTCATTTGAGGATAAAAGATCAAGGGTAGAATGGCCTGTTTGAAACTCATGCCCTTGGGAACTTTTATCTTCTTTTTTTTTTTTTTTTTTTTTTTTTGAGACAGTCTCGCTCTGTCGCCCAGGCTGGAGTGCAGTGGTGCGATCTCGGCTCACTGCAAGCTCCGCCTCCCGGGTTCACACCATTCTCCTGCCTCAGCCTCCCAAGTAGCTGGGACTACAGGCGCCCAGCACCACGCCCGGCTAATTTTTGTATTTTTAGTAGAGACAGGGTTTCACCGTGTTAACCAGGATGATCTCGATCTCCTGACCTTGTGATCTGCCCACCTCAGCCTCCCATAGTGCTGGGATTATAGGCGTGAGCCACTGCACCCGGCCAGGAACTTTTATATCTTTTAAGGAGAGCAAACAGCTGTGACTTACCCCCACATCTTCAATCCTGCCCTGCAAAATCTTCTCATACCATTCTCATGGACCTTAACCTCCTTTAGACAAATGTAGCATGGCCTATGGTAATTTACCATGAGGGTCTGACATTCTGTAATAACAATAAGGCACTTGTAATTAAGTTACCAATTTAGGGTATTTGTATTGGTGTTACTTGCTTTTAAAGTGCTTAGCATGTTTGAAAATTGGAACTTGGACTTCTCACCCTCCAGAACTGTAAGAATTAAATTTCTGTTGTTCATAAGCTAAACAGAGAATACTTGGATAATTTTCTCTGTCATCCTATGTTTCATAGCTAGAACTCAATCCTAGGTCAAATGAATATAAATTTTTAATAGCTGTATCTGAATTAAATAACTTGTCAGGCAGTTAAAGGCATATCATTGACTTAAATTTGTGGTTTATAACACTGCTAGCAAAATGAAGTTAAAGCATCAACAGCTCCTGTTCTTCTTCCCTTTTACCCTTACAGGACTCTCAGTTCTGTGGTGTGAAAGAGGGGAAGGTGAAACTGGTTCCTGCCAAACAAAAGGGAACTCAGCACACACCTCAACATTTTCTATATGTCATTTCCAGAAATAATGATGCCAAAAAAAAAATCAAATGCATAATGACTTTCTGATACTTGACAGTGTATTTTATAAAGCTGGATATTCTTAATCATTTGTGATACAGGGATATTTAAATGCTTTCATCTTTTTTGATATTTTAGTGTATTGACATTTTTTAACTTTTTTTCAGTTGAAATTACATAAAAATATAGAGTATATTTGGTTAGACGTTCATAGGTTCACCTATTTCTGAGGTTCCTGCTTCAAAACATCTTTATGGTGATATCGACTTTCTTGAAAAAATACACAGTTCTAAAATTGGATAAATTTAGAGAAATAATTTGGTTTGCTAAACCTTGGCTATTAGCCAAAATTTGGGTGAAAATAAAGTAGGACACTTTAGAAAATGAAATTGTTTTTATACTTTATATGTTAGTCCTTTTAGGCTGCTATAATGAAATGTCATAGACTGGATAGCATACAATCCACAGGAATTTGTTCCCCACAGCTCTGGAGGCTGGGAAGTCCAAGATCAAGATGCCACCAAATTCAGTGTCTAGTGAGGGCACTTCCTGGTTCATAAACAATGTCTCTTTGCTATAAACCTCTCACAGTGGGAGGGGCAGGAGATCTTTCGGGAGCCTCTTTTATAAAGGCACTAATCCCATTCATGAAGGCTCTGTCACCATAAGCTAATCATCTCCCAAAGACCCCACCTCCTAATACCATCACTGTTGGCGTGAGGATTTCAATATATGAATTTTGGGGGAACAAACATTCAGACCCTAGCAGATATTACCACATTTCTTTATTCCACCTTTCCTAATAAGTGGCTATTTTTATCATTTCACAGATGAGGAAACTGAGAGCTAAAGAATTTAGATAACTTGCCTAGGGTCACATAGTTTATCAGTGGAAGAGAAGGGAATCTAAATAGATTGTTTGACGCCAAAGTTCCAATGCTGGTGGATATTTTTCTATTCTTCTTTGACCATTCATCTTATACATGTGAAATTCTTTCTGTTCAGGATTCATTGAAGCTATGTGATTCTGATGACTTAGGTATTATTGCAGTTTGGTTACTTAAGGTGTGTCCTGGAAGTAAAGATTTTGCCCACTTCCATGCCCACCACTCAGCCAGCTCCATAAACATGGATGGAATATGTTTCTCAGCCAATTCTAACATGTCTTTCTGTTTTCGTTCTGAGAAGTCACAGTGAAGAAGGTGTACACTTAGTGACAACAACAGCTATTTATTGTGTGTTTGGATACATAATCGAATTGTACTTTTGTCCTAACTCTTAAAAAGCCTTTGTATCATTGTTCTACCATAAAGACACGACACATGCATGTGTATGCTCATTGCAGCGCTATTCACATTAGCAAAGACATGGAATAAATCTAGATGCCCATCAACAGTGTACTGGATGAAGAAGTGTATTGGGACATATACATGATGGAATACTATGCAGCCATAAAAACAACAAAAAGAAGTGTACTGGGACATACACACGATGGAATACTATGCAGCCATAAAAACAACAGTATCATGCCCTTTGCAGCAACATAGATACAGCTGGTGGCCATTATCCTAAGTGAATTAACACAGGAACAGAAAAGCAAATACCACATGTTCCCACTTATAAGTGGGAGCTAAACATTGAGGACACGTGGACACAAAGAGGGGAACAATAGACACCAGAACCTACTTGAGGTTGGAAGGTGGGAGGAGGATGAGGATCAAAAAACTATCAGGTACTATTATAGACTACCTGGGTGACAAAGATTTGTACACCAAACCCCAACAACATACGATTTACCCATGTAACAAACCTGCACATGTATCATGCGAACCAAAAATAAAAGTTGGAAGGAAAAAATTAAAAAAAAAAAAAAAAAAAAAAAAGTCTTTTGTATCCATCTCCATTGAATGATACCCATCTGTCCAGAAGAGGGCGATATTTTACTACAAACTTCCAGTGAAGCGCTCAACCACTTTGAACAAAAACTATACATTTAGAAAATGAGTATCTTAAGGTAGAGTTGGAGGAGTGCCATTTGTTCAAGTGCTTTTGGGATAAAACGTTTCTTCTAAATATTATGGGAAGAAGAGCAAAATTTCCTCCTTCTTACCCTCCTTCTTATATAGATTGTTCTTTCAATTTGAAATCAAATATTCTACTAAAATACAGTTAAAGTGGAATATTCCAAAACTAGTCCATACTTCAATTATAAGTACTTATAATCCAGAGGAAAGAGCATGGACCTAGGTGTCAGGTGAACCTGAGTCTGAATGCTGTCTCCACTACTTGCTGGCTTTGGGACTTCAGACAAGTTATTTGTTTTCTAGAGGCCTCCATTCCCTTGCATATAAAATGTGGATAGCAATACCTACATTATAGAGATGTATAAACATTAAATGTGTCAGGTTAAGAGCCCAATGCAGGCCAGGAGTGGTGGCTCACGCCTGTAATCCCAGCACTTTGGGAGGCCAAGGAGGGTGGATCACCTGAAGGAATTTGAGACCAGCCTGGCCAACATGGCAAAACCACGTCTCTACTAAAAATACAAAAATTAGCCAGGTGTGGTGGTGGGTGCCTGTAATCCTAGCTACTCGGGAGGCTTAGACACAAGAATCACTTGAACCCGGGAGGCAGAGGTTGCAGTGAGCAGAGATCGTGCCACTGCACTCCAGCCTGGGTGACAGAGCAAGACTCTGACTCAAAAAAAAAAAAAAAAAAAAAGCCGAAGGCAAAGACTCAATAAATGGAAAATTTCTTATTCAATAGAAATAGAGTTGCCAGATAAAATACAGGACATCCAGTTAAATTTGAATTTTAGATAAGGAACAAATAATGTTTTAGTAATACTTGGAACACACCTATGGATATTTCATGAAATATATTTAAAGGTATTTGTTCACCTGAAATCCAATATTAATTGTGTGTCCTGTGCTTTTATTTGCTAAATTTAACAATGTTAAACAGAAAACTCCTTGGCACAGGGGGAAAACTAAACTAAAAATGGCTAGAGACTTCAAAAAACTTAGAATTTATTAGTAAAGGGCTTGACATTTCTAGTAGCTAGGAAAATTAATATATTCAATATTCTAAATTTTTGAATAAGCAGCCAATCTAAGCAAAGTTATGTAAAATTTTTCTTTCAGTAGAGCCTCAGTCATTTCCATTCCTATTGCATTAAACAGTGCTTTGTACATAATACACATTCAATAAATTTTGTTGAGTAAAATATTTTAAAATATGGAGAAAAAGTCATACTTTAAAGAAAAAAAAGCACAAAGCAGGAGGTGAAACTGGCAGTGCAGTCTAATTTGTGTGTTTCTACTTTCTCCCCTTCTTGCCACAATAAAAGAAGGTATGCCCCTCCTTTTTTTTTTTTTTTTTTTTAAGACGGAATTTCGCTCTTGTTGCACAGGCTGGAGTGCAATGGCGCGATCTCGGCTCACTGCAGCCTCCACCTCCCAGGTTCAAGCGATTCTCCTGCCTCAGCCTCTCAAGTAGCTGGGATTACTTTAGTAGAGACGGGGTTTCACCACGTTGGTCAGGCTGGACTCAAACTCCTGACCTCAGGTGATCTGCAGGCCTCGGCCTCCCAAAGTGCTGGGATTACAGGTGTGAGCCACCTCCTTTCTTTCTGATTAAGGAAGGTGAGTTTAACCAAGTAAGAATAAGGTTTGGGAATGAAAGAAGGGAAGAAGAAATAAAGTGTTTTGCTGTGTTTTATTTCCTGTTCAATGGGTTGGAAGTGTGCCACAGAAAGAGGGCCACACCTTGGGGTCTCAGGAAGTGCAGTATCCATAGCTCAGGCCCCACCAGGTGACAACCTTAGGTATTAAAGCAGATGCTGCCCTGTGTGGCAGCCAGCAGTGAGCTCTCAGAACAACACAGCTGTCTCTAGTCTGCTCATCCCTGCCTCCTGTGGGAAATCCTCACCAGGCTGAGCCCAGGACAGCACCAAGGGGAGGAAATAGCTGCAAGTCCTCTCACCTGGCTGGAGTTGGCTTTGGTCTGGACACTCACACCCCAGGTCTGGCTGGGTCAGTTCCCAACAAATGCAGTGTATCAGTTCCATCAACCTGGTCACACCATGCAGATCATTGTGACCGAACAACCAGAAAATGTAAGTGATGACACTTCTTGTGGAAAAGAAATCACCTTTAAATGACAAACACACCTGCCATTGGTGTCAAAAGTAGTGATTTTGTACAATGATGTTCATCACATTTGTAACACCAGAATTTGGTAACTGCTTAATTTTTTAACATGAGAAAAACAATTGGATAGCTAATGGGATATCATTATATATGTTTTATATATTATATTATGTATCAATATAATATAACCAAATAAGTTTTTGGCGAATTTTTAAAGTAATGGGGCAACATTCATAACAATGCTAATTATTTTTAAGGCAGAGTATAAAATAAAAAGAACAATTCCAAATTTGTTAAAAGCAGGAAAACACCCAAAGTGAGAGAGACTCTAAAATAATAATACAAGTTATATTTGACTTCATATGATTTTTCATTTTCTCCATCAAATGTTCTGTAATTTTCAAATTTCCTATACTGAACATGATTACTCTTATAATCATGAAAATATATATAACACTATTAAAAGGTAGTGGAAGTTGTTGGTGCTAATGATTTGTATCTTTTTCTTCTCATATAGCAGATAAGCCATGACTTTTGTGGTTAAATGTTGCAGGACCTTGGATGAATATCTTAACTCTTACCCTCAGTTACTGCATCCTTAAAATGGGAATAATTTAGGGGTTCAGAGGAGCTTCACGCAGTTGATGTGATGATTAAGTGAGGTGATATATGTAAAACTTTGTTTAGCCAGTGCTTCATGCAGAGGAAGCATTCAATAAACTGTAATTATCATTAAAGAGCAGAATATATGAGTCGTTACCTAATTCTAGCCCTCGCTTCCACAAGATTTTTCCCCCATTCCTTCCCCCTTTTTTGCTTCCTTGCTTCCATCCTCCTTTGCTTTCTTCCTTTAGGTCAGAAATAATTGACATTGGCAATTTCATAAAATTTGACCTTGCTTCTTATTTCACCTCCCATCGCAAAATGTGGGGGCAAAGAAATGTAAAAGGAAATGTTTTGCTGTTTTTTATTTCCTGTACGGTGGGTTGGAAGTGTGCCACAGAAGGAGGGCCTCACCTTGGGGTCTAAGGAAGTGCAGTATCCGTAGCTCAGGCCCCACCAGGTGACAATGATAGGTGCTAAGGCAGGTGCTACTGGGAAATGAATTCCAAAGGATGAAAAGACAAAGGAAGTAAAGCAGGAAAGCATGATACTCCAGAAGTGGGAGGAAAGGATAGTCCACTTGTCTATCAGAGACAAAGGGTCTCTGTATCTGTGTACCAAGGAAGGATGGGCCCACACACAGCCTTGGGTTCTGATGCGTCACAGAGAAGCCCAAGGAATAGCCAAGTACCCAGAAGACCTGGGCAGAAGTGGGTTAGGTTGTCCAACTCAACCCTCCACCACTGAGACCTGGTGGGCAAGAGGAAAGAAAATGAACTGGAACCACAGCATCAGGAATTTCTGTTAAATGCTTCATTTGAAACTCTTTAATAGTATTCCTGACAAATAGAAACTCTAGAGGGAAAGTAATCTCAGCACAATCCCTTCAGAATAAAACTGAAAATGAAGAGCCTCTGTGATGATCTATGCCAAGGCCGCCTGAACACATTCTGGCCATGACTCAGTTTACCAAATGCACTCATGCGGCCTGCTGCCCTGCCTCCTACCACAGCTCCTGCTTACATAGCCCAAAGAGCCAGCTACTATTTATCGTATCTGCCAGGCCCCATCAAAGGAAACTCCACAATAATTTTCTGAAAAACAGGGTTTGAAATGGCTCAAAATATAAACAAATGAACCATGAAGTATTTTAAATCTAGAATGGGGTAAAACATTATTTTGTTTTTATACTAATAAGTATGTGCCAGGTACCAGGCTCAGGTGTAATCCTTAAACAGCCTTATGGGCGAGGTGCGACAAATTACTGCTATATTTTGCAGACAAATGGAAGCACCCCGAGGTAGTTTTGTTTTGTTTACTCCTTTGTCTTCAGTACCTACGAAACTGGCTGGCATGTAGCAGGTGCTCAGTAAATATTTGTTGAATCAATGAATGAAGTTAAGTAATATAAATAAGCCACAACCAGGTTTATGCATATATGCACATACCCATATTTATGCAGGAATATGCAGGTCATGCCTAGGCTGGCTTAACTCCAAAGCTTGAGTTCTCAATCACTATCTCCAGTAACCTCTTTACCACTGATTATGTGAGTCTGGGAAGGAAGACAAGGCCTTGCTGGTGCAGGCACTTTCCTGCATGACACAAAGATAATATGTCCTTAAAAATAACTGGATGTGGAGCGCTTTCCCCAGGGTCAGTGTTTAGGCATCACTAATAATCCAGTCCTTTTCTGCCTTAGGAATATGTTTACATATCAGCTATGAAAGCTGAAGACTTCTTTATAATATGATTCTCCAGGCTTTCTGTTATACAGAATGATAAATTACAGGCTAGTACTCACCAAGTCTCTAGATAAAGGCAAATGCATTTCTAGTATCACTTTAGCAATTGCTTGAGGGTTTTGAAAGTCTCTTGAAAACAGGCAGTTGAAGAAGTTTCCCCTAAGAAATTCTTAAGATTAGGACTTGAGAAGTTAAATGGAATTTCTATACCTTTTAGGCGCTATCTATTCGAAGGTGAACAGATTGAGCTTGCATTTCTCCATGTGATTAACATCAAGCGCCCTGTGTTGGTTGAAAAGGTTCATTAGCTGGAAAAGAACTTAAAAGGCAGGATGGACAACTTCAATTTAGATAATTGTTGGATGTGATGGAGTGCTCTGCAAATGGGTCTGCATGGGGCTGGGGCGGGGAGGAGCACCATCTACTAAGCACTGTAAAGGGCTCTCAGAACCCACAGGCCAGTAAATGTTTGAGTGGAGGAAGCATGACATATGGGATCAGAGGCTCTGAGTTTCAGTCCCGGCTCCATCACTTACTAGCTAGGTGACTTTAGGCAAAATCACTGTCTCTTTGAGGTTAGTACATCATCTGTAAAAGTGACAAGGATCGTGCCTAACTTTCAGGTTGTTCTGAGGATCCAGGGAGATAGCTGAGGTGCCTTGCAAATGCTCTATACAAGGGTTGGAATGATTGTCATCATCATCATGGCAATCGTTATTACCAAGTGAGGTTGCAGAGGATTCAAACACGAGCAAGTACATCCATCCTGGGTTCTTTTAGGATCTGAAGTTAATATAAGTTTGAATGCTTCTTTTACAACAAGTATACAAAATTATAAATTGCTGCCTTGAAAAAAGCTTCATTGGCTTCCCAGTAAATACTCCTCTGCCTCCACAAAAAGAGGTATAATTGTGGTCAATAGCATGGACTCAGGGAGGCACACTACCCAGGATTCAATCTTAGGTTAGCTGTATGACCTTTGGCAAGTTACTAAACCTCTCTGTGCTTCTGTTTTTCATTTGGAAAAAGGTTGTCATGAGGATTAAATAACTTAAAATATGTAGCAGGGCTGGCAGAGTAAGAAATATATGTGTTTATCATCACCATTTAAAAAAAAATCTCATTTCAAGGATCTTTTCATCTGGGAGAATGAAATATAACAAGTGCAACCATGACTTAAGACAGAATGTGGTGAGTGCTATAAAGGAGTACAAGACATGAGTTCTGGGGATGAAAAAAAGAAGTCGCATTTACTTGGGGGGAACCAGGAAATGCTTTGTAAAGGATGAATAGGGAAGTTTTCAAAAAGCAGCCCATTACAGGCAGAAAAAAAAAAAAAATAGCCCAAGCACAGGCTCAAAGGTGAGACTTGGTTTGGCATATCAGGGGACAACAAAAGTCTGTATTTATGGACTTAGAGAGAAAGCAGGAGAGGAACCTGGAAAGGCAGATTGGGGCCATAGAGTGAAGGGCCGTGGGCGCCTGTTTGAGGAGTTGGCAGGCAGTGGAGAGAGGACATTTGGCTTTCGAGCAGGACAAAGTCAGGATTAGCACATGTGGGCTGGAGGAAAATTAGCCCGGCAGCATCAGCAGGAGGGACGGGTGGGTTCAATGCCACCTACTCATCCTGGCAGAAGGGGACAAAGATGACTGGAGTTCCTCCACATTAACAACCCAAACAATTTGGAACATGCCGCCAACATTAGGCAGGGCAATCATTTCTCTGAAGTCTGAAGAAAGAACTGTCGCTTTGTAGCTTTTCCTTTCTTTCCCCTATTCATATTGGTGTCAGAGTTTAATTTCCCATTTCATCTCATCAATATAAAATGTGGGGAGGGCACGCCTCTGAGAATGGAGCTGTCACCCATCCCAGTCCACTGCCTGGCACTCATGGGCTCTGAGCAAAGGGCTGACAAAGGCTTT
Source organism: Homo sapiens (assembly GCF_000001405.40). Classification (NCBI taxonomy): domain Eukaryota; kingdom Metazoa; phylum Chordata; class Mammalia; order Primates; family Hominidae; genus Homo; species Homo sapiens. The sequence goes on from NC_000011.10 coordinate 30,352,776, forward strand.
TCTGGCACAGGCTTATCTTTTCCTCCAGTGGAAACTTCTTCCATCTTCTCTCATTTAGACTAACATTTTGCAAAACTTCTTTTTCTGCCACATTTTGGAGTACATTTCTTTTTAGAAATGAACTGTTTTTGTGCAGGCACCTTGCATTTTAGCTTTCTCCCCAGCCAGGTGGGGCTGCTGCATGCAGCACACTGCACAACCTAAACAACTGTATGTGGCAGCCAGTGACCTAGTCAGGGCCTTATTGCAGAGGACAACATTTGGCATCTGCTTCAAGGCGTTCCTACTCCTCTGGGAAAGGCAGTTCCTATGTGTCCCCACGAAGATTCTGCCTCCTTGGTTCCAGTTGGTCCAGAAGTGGGTATCTGACTTCAGCCAAACCAATCAGCATCCTTCCCTGGAATGTTCAAAACTTAAACAATAGAGAGAATCAGCTCCTCCTGGTTGGTAGAAACAACAGGATTTGAATGGTGGGAGCACACATAAGCCAGGTTCCCAGCACAGGGAAGAAGACAGTCTACATAACAGAAGAGGAAGCTCTGCCATGAGAAAAGTGAAGTTATGGTTCGATTTGAGTTCCTTTTCCAATTTTCCCTGAGGACCATCTCCCACCTTGTTCTACTCTAGGTTAAGTGTGATGCCCTTTTAGAAATTTCCTTCTTCTTTTGCCTAAACTATTTCAAGTTGGATTTCTATCCATTTTGAACAAAGGGACCTGACTCATATACTTATGCTCTCACCCCTTGCTCATCAATCAAAGTTTACTCAACCTGTCTCCTTTCTTTTCAGTGTTCCAAGGGGTGAACAGATAATTTTACTGCTTCTAACATAGATAATAATGTATTAACCCTTAATAATCACAGTAAGCACTTATATATTGCTTTTCCATTTTCAAAATGATTTTTCAATCAGTATTTCAGTTGATCCACATAAAGATGCAGAGGAAAGGAGGGCAGATAATATCTTCCTCATTTTATGGAATAGAAAAGTTAGATCCAGATAAATTAAGTGACTTGCCCAAGTTCCCCATTATTTTTTGCCAGAGCCTGAATTTCAGACCCTTTCTCTTGTTTCCAAATCCTGCATACTTTTCCCAACACCTTCTTGCTTTCGGAAGTAACTCCAGGCTTAGACTTTTGGATATTGGTGAAGGCCAGTGAGGAAGACAGTGTGATCAAGGGGACCTTCAGAGGATCCTCAGAACTCTGGTGAAGCAGCTGTCTACTCTGCCTATAAGGAAGGGGGTACTCCTGTGGCTTATGTTCAGTGGGACCAAGGAAATAACACATGGCTAGAACAAGGATGAGGCAAGGGAAGCGCCAAGGGCAAATGATTCAAGGAGATGCTTATTTTCAGGATTGTACAAGGGCCTGCCCTGGCCCCATAACATCATTAAGGCCATAGCTGCAAAATTCAGACTTTAGAAGTGTGTGAGATTCTTCCTGAAATAAACACACATCTTCTAGGCTGACTTAGTTATAGGAAGAATGTGGGATGGAAGAATCAGAAGACCAGAAACAGGCACTGGTGGTCAACTTTACCACGCCTAGCATCTAGACATCATTGCCCAACCCCTTTGCTCAGTGCCTGCCTATATGATGGATTCACTTGACTAACCATGCTCTCAAAAAACATATTTTTTCACTCACTCCAGCCCACAAATGTCCTTAAAAGTAGATTCTGAAGTAAAAGAAAATTACAATCACATTCTGTTGGAAACCCAGTGAAAGCAAAAGAAATGCTTTAAAAAAAATCAATATTTTTAACCCTAAAGTAGATCCTAGAGATAATCTATTTCACCTTGGATTTCTGTCACTTTTGACCAAAGGGTCCCAATTACTATACCCATGCTCCTAGGCTGCTTTCATCAATCAAAACTTACTTGTCCTGTTTTCCTTTCTTTCAGTGTCTAAAGGTTTATCAGATCAGAAAATTGAAGCTGATACAACTTAAGTGGCTTTCTCAAGGTCACCCAGCTGGTTAATGAAAGGTGCTGGGTTGGAATTCAGGTCTACTGAGGCACAGTGCTCATTCCACTATACTGTGAGTCCTACACTGAGTCCTGGACTGAAACAGTTATTTCTCAGCTTTAATACCAATCATTTCACGTATGTACAGTACTTAGAAATTTTCTGAGTGCTTTGCATTTATTATTTCATTTCCAACTCACAGACATTTTGTGTGTAAATTATACCTGTGATCAAGATAAGAAAATTGAGGCACAGAAAGGTCATATGACTTATCTGAGGAAACATACTGAGGCAAAAACACAGCAGTTGTCATCCTCCACCATTGTTTATGTTTTTTTCCTGCCTATGTGACAAGCCAAACTTATCTAGAATTATTAGTTTAATATTTGTTCTCTCCTACCCTATATTAATTATTTATTGCCATATAATAAATTACCCCAAAACTGAGCAGCTTGAAAGAACAAGCACTTATTACCTCACAATTTCTATTGGTCAGGAATCCAGCTGCCACTTAGCTGGGTGCCTCTGGCTGAAGTTCTCTCATGAGGTAATAGTTAGGTGTCAGCTGGGGCTGTGGGCTCATCTGAAGGTTCAACTGAAAGATGATTCACTTCCAAACTGTTGGCAAGATTCAGCTCCTCATGGGTTAATGGGCCAAAGGCCTCAATTCTCAACTGGTTACCGGCCAGAGACCTCCCTCAGTTACCACAAGGCCTCTCCATAGGGCTGCTCACAACATGGAGGCTGATCTCCCTCAGGGTGAACATGTGAGAAAGCAAAACAGGGAAGCCCAAAGCAGAAGCCACAGTACTTTGTATAATCTAATCTTGGGAGTGACATGCCATTACTTTTGCTGTGTTCTATTTATTAGAAGCAAGTCAAAATGTCTAGCCCACAACCAAAAGAGAAGAGTTTATAAGAGTGTGATATCAGGAGACAGAAATCATTGTAGCCATTTTAGAGACTGCCTAACACATGCTCCAAATGAAAATTACACCTTCAAGATGCCTAGGGTAAAATAGAGGTAAGTTTATGATTTTTCAGTTTTTAAGGAAAAGTGTTTTTTATATTAAGCATAAAGGATTATTCATCCAAAAATCATAGCTGGATGCTTGTTTGATATTTTGAAGCCACTGTGCAAAGTGGACACATATCCCAAAGGAATAGATCTGTGATTCTGCCATCCATCTCTCCCTCTCCTCAAAGCATACTAATTTCAGTTTGATTTTTTTTTTCCATCTGAAGTGAAAGTCTTGCCTTCCAGACAAAACCAGTGAATGACACTGCCTGCATGTCAGAAATTGCAACTGACATTTCAATTTTGCTTAATTTTTTTTCTTTCTTTGATAGTATTATGGTGAAAATTTACATTTGAATAAAAAGCAAATAGTGCATGTCAGAGTAAGCATCAGGGAATGTCAAATTGTTTTTTTCCAATTACAACTCTATTTCAAATAGGGTAATGAAATTAAAGGATAATTACTAGAAGCACAAAGCCAAGGTTACGATCAGAAATGGTTACCCTTTCACTTTAAGTCCTGTCTTGCTAAATAAAATATTCCTGAGGGGGAAGTTACTGTTTGCAAATAAAATACACTCATCCAGGACCACCCAAACACTTGACAATGTTGACCAAAACACCTATTTGTGCGTAAATACAAGTGTTTAAAAGAGATGAAAGGACACTAAAGGTAAGCTGCATTTTCCTTGGCTTTATCACTCTGATTAATAATGTGATAAATTAGCTGTAGGATGCAATATTAATTAACAGTATATTAGTTGCATTTTATTGCCAATAATATAACAAGCTCTGAAATAGTAGTCAGACTAAACTGCTGACACGGGCTTTTCTGCAAACTGAGCTGTAGTTTGATTTCTCATTTGTCCAAGTGAAGCATCAGCAACTGAGTAAAACCAATTACCTCAAAGCCCACCAAGCCCTCGGCAGCAACTTAGTGCATCTAAGCTTTGCCCAAATGTTATTACTTTCAAATTAGAGGCTGGTCTGAAATGGGCCATCGAAGAATTTCTACTGCTGAAAATAATTCAATATGGCAGTCCAGTTGTGGAACACTTTTCAGGGCCAAATAGAAACAAAGCTCCTTCCAATTTTGACACATCTTGAATCCATGGCTGTCCACTTCTGGAAGGCAAGCCTGGAAGTACAGAAGTCAGATATGAAAAGGGAGGCATTTTCCTGCCTTTTATGTTTATTTTTGAGATGAAGTCCTGGGATGGAGGTGGGGGACACTTTAGGAAAAAGGACCCAAGGTCAAGGATGAAAACAAATAAAGACACTCACCTAATGGGAGTTATCTCACCTCACTAGGTAAAGAGAAACTACAGCACAAGAGTTCATCAAGTACAGAGATATGTTGTTGAGTGAACACTTGGCCAAAGGTATTAAAACAAGTAGGGCAGATGCATTATAAGTACCTGAAGAAATCTCTGTTTATATTTATTCATTTGTCTCACCCATAGACCTTCACTTGCTATACTCTTTCTTCTTTCTTTCTCTTTCTTTCTTTTCTTTCTTTCTTCTTTTTCTCTCTCTCTCTGTCACACAAACATATACAAAATCACTTTCGATCCTCTTATCTTGCTTAATATCTTTCATGGAACTTATTACTATCCAAAATTAAATTTCAGACAGTTTATCCATTCATTTACTTCTCTGTTCCTGTATTCCCACCAAACTGTACACTCCATGAGGTCAGGAGGTGTGTCTGTGCACTGCAGAATAGTGCTTGGCATGTAACAGGCACAAAATTAGTTGAATCAAAGAATGAACCCATTCACTGAACTTACATTTACAAAATGCCCAATGTCTAAGTGCGAAGGATTCAAAGATGATGATAATCATAACTACCATTCACTGAAGGAGCCCTCAATGAGCTAAAAGCTTTACATACAGTATTTTATTTGAATCCCTCAACAACCCTTTGAATCATGTGTTTCTATTTTCTTTCTTTCTTTTTTGCAAATGAAGACATAGAGGCTCACAGAGACTGACTTATTACCACCAAGCTAGAAAGAGGTAAAACTATAAATTAAACCGGGTTTGTCTGGCCCTGACTCCAGGAATTGTCATATTCAAAGATTAATAAGAGACAAACATCCTCCCTGAGAACCTCAAAGTCTCATGCTTTGGATTTGAAGCATCATTGTCTTAGAGGATCCTCCTAATATTCTGTGGCTGGAGAAAGAATCTGACAATAATTCCTGGAGAACTGGAGTTGGGACATTTGCCATCCTGGGGCCTTCAGGAATGTCCTTGTCCATGGCAGGATCTGGTATGCCATGCTACTTTCCCTTTGGTGAGGTCAGATTCTGCTGTAGAGGTTTGCCAGGGCTACCCATATTCTCATATCCTTGGCTCCAGGTCTGCATATGAGCCCAGCAGCTGTCAGGGATCCTATTTACTTTTAATAAATCTAACAAATGAATGATAAATAAGTGGTGATTCGTCTGCCTCAGAAAATCCAGCAAGGGCAGGACCCAGCCAGGTGCATGGGAAGCTAAACTCTTTTCCAGCCTTCACAACTGAATTTTAAATTGCCAACACCAAGCTCCAAAGTCAGTTCAGACCCACAAAGTTTCTATGTATTTTAGAAGTCACAGAACTACCCCTCTCTCTGGTCTCTTGGAATAAAAGAAAGTTCCTCAGCCTATTCATTCCATGAATTAAAAAAAAAAAAAAGATTAAAAAAGGTCTCCTCGGTTACAATGCCATTCATATCCTTTGACCAGAAAGAGTTAGAGAAAAACTTCGGGATTGATCTGAGGGACACAGAGCCCAGGTTCCATTAAAGTGTATTAATGCCAAGGTCTGTGCAATTAGTGAAAAGTCAATTCCCATTACTAGTTAACACTATTGAATATCTGCTTTCTTTAATAAAAAGCCATGTCCAGTACAAAGAGAATAAATCAATAGGTTGGCTGCATTTAGATCTATTCTGCCTTCTTCTAAAATGCACAGAGAAACTCCCTGTCAGAGCTCCACTGTCTGTCTGCCAAGCTCAGTTTGTAAACTGGCAGCTGGCCCTGCCTTCTTTGCCTGGAATCTTTCATTAGCACTTTCTCACTTTAGCTCTCATTTCTCTCATCAGGAAAATTAAGTTTTATCCCATGCCTAAAATTCTTCTCTTTGAGCTTAATCTCGATCTGCCTCCGAATTGGACTGGTTCAGAAAACGAGCTGCAAAGCCACTGTGGCCATACATCTAAACCTCAGCCTTCGCCAAGCATCGGTTCTTCCTCAGGCCAGGAGAGTAGGGTACACACAATTTCTAACAAGGGTCCAAAGAGTCCCAAGAGCCTGAAAGACTTTTCTCCTCCAGAGATACCCTTTGCGTTCTTTTACATCTGGTAACCTTCCTTGCTGCCAAGGAGCTGGAATGTTCCAGATCCTTAACTGTGAAGAGCAAAAGAAGGATACACCTGTCCGGTGAAGTTTGCAAGCCCTCCCAATTCTCAGCACCACATGCAGAAGAAGGATGCATTCACCTCCTGTCTGTGGAGGCTGCCTTTCTGTAGCTAAGCCCATCTATTTATCTTCTTTGGTGCGGACCACTAAAAGGAGAAAGCTGTTTAGACACTATCTTCATTATAATGCTTGGTTTATTAAAGACTAAAAGGATACTTTGATTCCCACTGTACATATAAGTTACTCATAAGTTGGAAAATTGTGTTTCCGTGAAAGCAAATTACTGTACCTTAAATTATTTCATTAACCAGAATGCTCAGTCTTTGATGGGAAAAGGAGGATTGATATAATTTTACTTTAGTTCAGGTTTACTATGCAGAATTATTTGACATTCTTCTTTAATCCTTTGGTCCTTATTCCGCATCCTCTCTCCCTTCTCAGAGTGTGTGTTTGGTGGGGTGGGTAGGTTTGGTGGTGATATTGGTTTGGGTCATGGTTTCGGTAGATGAATAGATTTGGAATTGCATTCTTTTCAGGACTCAGCAAATTGGTGTGTATCGTTCTGGGTTTTTTCAATTGGTTCAAGTCTACTATTTCTCCACTTAAGCAGGTTGAAATATCTAATGAAACAAGCACTGCTAGAACCAAATCTGTTTATTCCTGTTGCTGAGATCCTTTCATGCCACTTTCCATGGCCCCATTTCTGGTCCAGAGGCCTGGTCTGCCATTAGAGAGAATCACAAACCAGGCCCTACACTGTGAAACCAACGAATGATCCCCAGTACTGTCATGGATGTTTCTTGAAGCCACTGGAGTCGTCCACTGTGGTCGGAGAACTCAGGGAGGGAACCTTCTGCATTGCTTCCCAGAGCAGCTGTGGGGTGACAGTAACAGGCAAACAGTGGAAATGCACACCATCCTAATACAAGGGTGGAAAGTGTTCAGTTGTGAAGAGGCATTTATGTTTACACAAACAGCCAGTTTTTCCTCACATTCAAAGTTACAGAGTTGGACAAGGCAGGCTCACGAGGTGACAAAGAAAAATTTAACTAATCAGGCAGGCTATCCCCAAGTGTTCCAATGGCATGGATGATTCTGCCAAAGGGACTAACTGATGAACAGGTAGCTGGGTGAGGAGACTGCAGATCTTTGTCATCCCAAGCAGATGAAGGTTCCCCACTTGATCAGAGGCAGTGATTGAATTCCCATTTGGGGATCCCACAAAGAAATGGATTGACATTGTCAAGCAATTAATCCAAGGTGAAGTACGATTTAAAAAAATTGGGAAATGAATAAATGCAGTCCCAAGCAATCTACCTGTGTGACACTGATGCAGGAAAATTGCCTTTGAAGAGGTTGGCAGTTGTCTTTGGTCCTTTAGCAAATCCTTCCACGATAACTCTGAAATGAATAGAAGGAGCAGAATTGGATTAAACAATTTTAAATTTTACTTTCACAAAACATAAACAAGGTTTAAAATTTTGAAATTCACAGAATCGCCTCGAATGTCACAAACCTTATGAAGCACCAAGGAGCTAATCCCTCTTATCTTTAAGACTGGGATCAAGGATTTTTTTCCACTCTGTAGGAGCTCCTGAGAACCAACTTTTGCAAAAGAGTCAAGTTGCCAAGCCAGAGCTGGCAGAAGAGTTGCTCCATAAAGTGAGAACAGAATGGAATGCACTCTCACCTTTGAGTTCAAGTGCATGTTGAGATTTTTATCTGAAATGAATTCTGATTAATATCACCTTGGACTAAAGGAGAAAAACATTCAAGCATGTGTTTATACTTGTTGACATGAATAAAAGATACACCTTAAATCTGAGTCATAATACTAGAATAAAAGATGATTATGAAATGCATACCACTGATATAGTCTCACCAAGAAAGTCAACATTCAAATTCCCTAAGACATAGAGAAATTTGTTTCAATAACTTGTCCAATCACTCTTTAGCCATAAGACCAAACTATGGTCCCTACCCATACCACTTTGTTCTTTTGAGTTATTGTCTGTTTCTCACTCTAATTAATCACTTCCCAATCATATTTAAGGAGAAAAAGAAATGGACATACCTTTCAGGGATGCTTTAAAAGCTTCATTATTGTTACTGAGAGAGGACAGCAGGTTGAATTCCATGTTCTGAGGAGAACATTGCATCCATGACAATGTCACACACACACGAGAGCATGAAGCACACCCAGGTAATCAGATGGTGATGCATAGTCCTGCAATCAGCTCTCCTTATTGACCCCGAAGCCTTGCCTTCAGCCAAGTTAGATCTTTCAGTGGAAATAAGATGGAATTATTTCAAAATAAGATGGAAATAATTTGGAAGTTGGCTGGGTAAGACCTGTTGACATGGAAAAGCAGGTTTTTTCCATTTTTCCACTCTCAACTCTATACCCCCTAGATAGACACTCTTATATTTCCTATTTCACCTTCCACAATTTCTTGTCAAAGATTACTTTAAAGTGTACAAAACAATGATATCTAAAGGCTTCCCATCTCACTTAGAGTAAAAACAAAGTCTCTATAATCCCTCATCACCAGGCCACCAGCCAACCACTCACCCAATGTCTTAATTCCTTCTCCAGCCTCCTCCAGGCACACTGGCTTACCTGTGAGTCCTTGAACATTCTGGGCACATTTCTGTTTCAGGGCCTTTGCACTTGCTCTTCCCTCCATCTGGACTGCCCTTCAGTGCCTACATGGCAAAGTCAAGTCTTAATTGTCCCTCTTCGATAGAGACTTCCAGATCTATCCTATCTAAAATTTCAACCTCTCCCACCTGCCAAACAATTTCTATCCTCTTTCCTAACATATCATATAATTAACTTTTCCAATCTCATTTATTGCCTGTCTCTCCACTCGAATATAAGCTCCATGAGGACAGTATTTTATACACTGCTGTATCCTTTGTGCCTGGAACAATTCCTGGCATGTAGTAATGGCCCAATAAATACTAACTGAATGAGTGCATAAATAAATGAATGAATATCAGTGATTCACTAAACCCACCTCTCCTTCATTCACACAAAAGCCAGGTCCTTTCACAGGGCACTTCCAGCATTGCCACCATGATCTTAATTGCAAATAGTTACTAGCTGTTACCAGGCTCCAAGCATTGTATGAAACACCTTACATACACTATCTTATCTTCACAAGCAACTCCTGAGCTGAGTGTAATCATCCCCAGTTTACGATGAATAAATGATGAGCCAGAGAGATCAAGTAACCTGCCCACATTGGCTTGCTAGTATGTGGTAGAGCTCAAATGAAAGTCAAAGTTAAAGTTTGTCTAACACATGAGGTCTTAACCAGGGATGATTTTGCCCCCAAGGATGCATGTGGCAATGTCTGGAGACATTTTTTGTTGTCATAACTGAGGGTTGCTACTGAATTCTAGTGGACAGATAGCGGGGATACTGCTAAACATTACTACAATACGTACGACAGCCTCCCATAACAAAGAATTATCCTGCACAAAAGGTCAATTGTGCTGAGGTTGAGAAACCCTGGTCTAACTCCATAAACTGTTTTTAGTCCCATTGCAGTTTTGCTCGATTAGCTGCTAGCGGCAGTGCAAACTGCACCAACCCTTTTATAAAGCAGTATGACAATATTTCTTGAGAGTGTTGAATGTTTTCATACCTTTTGACTCTGCAATTCTACTTCTGTAAATCTAGCCTAAGGAAATAATCTGAAATGTGGAAAATGCCCCCAAATATTGATCATGACATTATCTGTAATACTAAAAAATTAGAAACCAGTTAATGTCTGGTAATAAAGAGATCATTAAGTAAATTCTGGAATATCCACTTGCTGGAACATTAAGCAGCCATTAAAATGATATTTATT